>NC_000003.12:161281331-161584361 GCF_000001405.40 Homo sapiens | reverse complement strand
CAAGGAAAGGAGTTTCTTCTCAAGCCCCTGAAAAGGAGCTATTTTGCAAATACCTGATATGAAACTATTGAATGTATACATATCTGTGTCCTGCTGACACCTCGGCCTTTGCCCACCAAAATCTAAGTCAGGCTTCTAACCTACAGAACTGTAAGAAAATAACTATGTGTTAAGCTACTATGTTTGTGGTAATTTGTCACCACATAAATTGAAAAGTAATACACACAGTAAGTCCCAAAACATATATTTTTTGAATCATAGTGTTTTCAAATTTTATATTTAAAAACAAGCAAAAAGAATTTTTAAATAACTTTTAATTGCATAGTAGAGTGGTCTATGATATTGCATATAAAATATGGGATAAAAAGCTTTTAAGAATATCTGAGCAAACTTAAACATCTTTGGAAAAGTAGTCTGGTTGCCCATCTCCTCTTTGATGGAAAGCCTGGTAAAAATGCTTTACTATGAAAAAGCTGCCTTAATTTTATTCGATGATTAAGATATTAAATTTGATGATGTCAGTCCCTACATAAAAGCCTCCATGATGTTTATTTTATTTGCAATTAAATGCAAACTCCATACCACAGCCTATCCAGCCCTCTGTGATCTGACCCCTATGATATGATCCCTATGATGACAGTTTCTATTCCTTTCCCACTTCTCACTAAGCTGCACCCACACTGGCATTTTTTCCTATCTTTAACATGAAAATCTTATTCCCAGCCCACTCCAGGGCCTTTGCATGGTTGTTTTTCTCCCTGGAATGTGCGGAAAAGCATTTCATGAGGTTCAGGGGTACAGCCTCAACACTCAGAGAAACAGGTACATTAGTAACACAAAGGGCCAGAGAGAAACCTGCATGATCATCAGAACACCTGGACACTAGCAAAAGTATGCAGACCCCAGAATTTCAACCAAACCTGCTGAATTAACTTTGTACAGATTTCAGAGTTGTTATATTTTAAATATACTCAGGGAAGGCAGACAATAAGCACCATTATCTTTTTGAGATAAGAGCAATGTAGGGAACATTTACTCAGACCCAGCAAAGACAATTGCTCTATAGGATGATGTGATACCTCCTTTTACATCTAACCCCCAAGATGGCATAAGTAATACTAATTGTCAGATGTAATGATATCTCCGAAAAACCATACAGTATAATATAGTAGTTATGAGCAAAGATTCTGACACCAGACACTGGGATTTATAATCCCAGCTCTCCACTCACTATCTGCCATACTTGGGCAAGTCATCTAATCCCACTGAGCCTCAGTACCCTCATTTGTAAACTGACGAGGATTAATAGCAAAGCTACCATACAGAGTTGTGAGGATTAAATCATTTAATAAGCATAAAATACTAAGGACAGTGCTTGTCCAATTATAAATGCTCACTAAATGTAGGCCGTGATTTGTAAAAGGCATCATTCTGGTCAGCCAGATATATTTTTTGAATCATAGTATTTTCAAATTCTATATTAAAAAACAAATACCTTTTATTGAGGTATTGCTATGGTTTGAATGTCTCCCTCAAAGTTCATGTGCTGTAAACTTAATCCCCAATGCAAAAGTGTTGGTAGATGGGGCATAATAAGAGATGATTAAGTCATAAAGTCTCTGACCCCATGAATGAATTAATGTTGTTAACTCAAAAGTAGTTTGCTATTGCAAGAGTGGGTTTGTTATGAAATCTAGTTTGGCCTCCTCTTGCTTTCTTGCTCTTGCCCTCTCTTGTTGTCCTCTTTTCACCATGGGATGACACAGCATGAAAACCTTCACCAGATAATGGCACAATGCTCTTGGACTGCCCACCCTCCCAAAATGTGAGCCAAATAATTTTCTGTTAATTATAAATGACCTTATCTGTGGCTTTCTGTTATAGCAGCATAAAACAGATGTAGACAGGCATGACCCACTTTTAACACAGTTTTTGCTAGTGTTTTAAAAATGCTCCCAGATATCTAAACATACCTATATTTTACCTTTCACAGCTATTACATGAAATAAAGTGAAAATTTCTACGCTCTTTCCATTGGCTTCCAAACTGCTTGATCAATGACTGGTATTAAGTATGCAGACCATAAAGTCTTTACAATTGTTTAAAATGGTTACTGTTTCTCTGCTGATACGTACTAGGTTATCCAAAGCTACAGGAAAATGGGAAGATAAAATATCAATAAAAACCTTATTTTTTATTCTCCTGGGCTCCCTATTGATTTCTCCTTTCCTCTGGTGGCAAAACTAAAAGGGCATATACCACTGCAGAAACTGCTTTCTACAAAACAAAAAATGATAATAATAATAATACTTACTCCAAAATACCTAAATTCAAATAGAACTTTACCAATTGGTGTTAGCCTCTAAATCCAGTAAAGATGTAAATAAATCAGTACTAATCTTTTAGCTTTTGCCAGTCTTTGAGGATTTGAAGATAAATAGATGTTTGAGCCTGGAGTTTGGAGAAGGAAGGTGCTTGTCCTCACAATATAGGGTGGCAGTCAACTAGTCTAGGCATGAAACTTCGGAGACCTAAAGACCAAGTGATTGGAAATTTCACTGGCCTTTTTGTTTCTATAGGATTTGGCTAAGGAACAGCACCCACAGATGCCCTTTGGTGCTGGACACTAAGAAAGGAGAATCTTAGATTAATGGCAGGGTGACACAGCTAAATAGAGAGAGTTAAGAAAAGAAAGTATCTGTGCACTGTCTGGTTCTGGTATATCTCTCTCTCTCTTTCAAGGATGAAAATGATTCAGCAGGGTGAGTGTATGTGTGTGTGTGTATGTATGTGTGTGTATGTGTGTGTGTGTGTGTGTGTGTGTGTGTGTGTGTGTGTGTGTCCAGAGAATCCTCTTCAAAAAGTAACAGGGAGCATGAATGATAGAAATACTCAACCCCACAAGATTATGAAAGAATCATAAACATTGGCTGTGGTGTGGATATTTTTCCAGAAGCCTAAAGAACAAGAGCAGTGAGACATCCCATAATAAAATAATATGACTAATGAATAGAGTAACCAAAAGACTCAACTTCTAAGACACTGGTGGTAACATATGGTCTGTCCCGAAAACCAATCCAAGATTTGGACATGCACATCCAGCCCCAATTCTCCACTGCAGGACCCTTACTATAGATATCATTAGTGTTATGGGAGAATGAGGAAGGAGGAAAGGAGGCTCAGAGAGACACACAGAGAGAAGGAGGCGGGAGGAAAGGGGCAGGGGGAGACCTTTCAACTAAACAGTGTTGGAAACAAAACAGTGACTGAGCCAACTATACCCAAATTGGACTGAAAAAAAATACTTGAATCTGATGGACCTAAGAAAAACTAAGTTTTAAACCGGAAGCGATTGGAATATGTACAAATAAAAAACTTTAAATTATCTTCTGATGAGCAATAATGAAGATTCAAAAAGGAAAATAATTTATTAGAAAATAAATTCTATTTTGTTGAGTTCTATTTTGCACATACCTGATATGAAACTATTGAATATAAACATATCACAGCATTGAATTCTAAAGTTGTTTTTTCTCAGGGTAAATTTTCATTTTCCAAACAATAGGCCAAAATTTGAAGGAAATTCACATATGGTATTTTCATTTTGATCAAATTTAACCATCAGTGTTTTCCCCCTGAAATAAGTACCTTCCACTTTATAACGTTGGTCAAGTCACGGCTTCAGTTTTCTAATGTATAAAATAAAAAATGTGGACCTACTTGTCTAGATACTCTTTCAACACAATAATTTAATGACCAAGTAGAAAGTTTCTCTCAGGTCTTTATTTAGAATCAAGTGCATAATTAAAGCACTTAAGAAATATAGAACTAGCTTCCCTCTGGGAAGTTTAACTGTCCCAGGTTCAGAAATGTTCAAACACTTTAATATTTTACTTAAAGGTGTTTGTGGAAAATTATTCCATAAGTTGATATAGGTTTTCCTGCCAATTTTTGTTTGATCCAGGATTAATTCATAAATCAAACAATGATAAATCAGCCCTCATCAATGGGCTCTTTTAACAAAGTAATTAAACCGTAGCATGTCATTAAGTAGCTTCTTCAATTGAATGGAATGTTAAAGCAAGTTTTACACCTTACATAATACTTTCCTCCTAGAAGTTAAAGTTTCCTCCTGAAAAGGTAAAAGATGTTGTTTATTTTGCTTAATGAAGACTTTATAGAATAGTAGCATTTCCGGTATTAGCAAATTTGAAAACTCTATAAATCCCCAGAGCTGCTCAGCTTTAAGTCTTTTAAATCGGGAGATTCTACGCCTCTTTTAAATCTCACAGAATGTGATTCCTGGTGATTTACTATTAATCCCAACGCAGCTAGGAAGTGTTAATGCATTTTGTTCGATAAGAATTTCTTATGAATGCACAGCTGTCATGTTTTCTGGTATATGATTCTGTTCACATCTGCTGTAGGGTTCAGAGGAGTGGCGGGCGTTGGCAATATCGTAAAGTGTTCTTGAAGCAACAGAAAAGCAAAAAAAGTCATAATTTTCTATGGGGATAATTTCTATGCTGCACTGACACTTTTAAATGTTTTCAATAGTGTTGATTTATTGGAAAGCTTAGAAAGGTAGTGCTGAAAACCAGCTTTCCCCATAAAATCTCAGTGACAGAGAATAACTTTAACATCTTTCAAACTGTTCATTGTGAAAGATTTTTTTCATTACGATGAAGGTGTTTAGAGGTTTTTGATTTAATGTAGAATGATAACTCCCTTGAGTCTCAGAGTTCTGGAAAGAACAAACAATGAAATGTAACCATCCCCGGAGTGAGTTCAATAATGGAATACCTTTGACTAACCATGGCAACAAAGCACTTCCTTGACTTGCTTAAGCTCTGTAATGTGAAATTCTGGTTCTCAAAAATTAAAATTTATTCATAAATATATTGCTTTGACCTTGCATTTTCAAAACAAGAGAAGCTGTAGCTTCTCTCTTTTCACCACTGTTATTGTGCTTAATTCGGGCAGTTTCCCCTTTTAATTCCTAGAGTTAGCAAACACAAGGCAGCCCTAGAAGTTTGACAGTCTGTAGGATGCTTTGATAACCTAACTTTGGGTTGCTCATCATGTTTTAAAAACACGCAAGTGAAAAGTTGAGGGTATATGCTAGGAATGCTAGGCTACCTTAAAGATGGTTGTTTTAGTAACATATTTTTTCCAATTAAATTAGGGAGTTGCTCAAATATAATTAAAAATAGAGGAGTTTCTTTAAAATACCAATTTATAATTATTTTTCCACCACTCTTACATCCCCTTCTGAGAGAACCTTCCAGGCCCCCTTATCTGAACACCTGCTCCCACAGGCCCTACTGTGTAGGAAGTAAACCCAGGATAAATCGTCAGCCACCTTTGTTTTTTCTGGACTCAGAGGTTTCCTGGGATGCCAGACTTAAAAGTACTAAAATCAGAAGGGAAACCCAGATGGGCTGTCACCCTTCAGAGTTTCCCAAGTTTAGCCTGCCTCAGATCTACCTGAAGAGCTTATTAAAACTCAGATTTCTGGGCCACAACTCTATAATTTTTATTCAGAAGATCTGGGGTAAGGCTCAAGAATTTGCATTTCTAACAAATTCCCTGATGCTGCTGATGCTGCTCGTCCAAAGGCCACACTTTGAGAAGCCACTGCCAGACGTCAGCACTCTCCTGGACTTGATTAGCTCAAGGGTACAAAGTGGATCCAAACTGATTTTATCAGAATGCCTCAATAAAAATTTGACACTGGAGCTCAAGGTCTTATATCAAGTACCTTGGTCGTGTAAAGGGTTTTACATTGGACACCAGCTACACGGAGAAAAGGGGATGTGGGAGGATTGCCTTGGTACTCAATACAGTTCCAGCTCCTGATTTCAGTCCTTCAGTGAGGCTCAGCTGTACTTGCACCCCTTTAGTTCCATGAGCTTCTCTCATTGCCTACTGATAAATTACCATTTTTGATTCAGGTACTTGGAGTGGCATATGTTATGTGAGCCAACATAACCCTGATTAAAACCAAAATGAAATGGTAGCAACAAACAGAGGAAAAAAATCTAAGCCTAATAAAATATTATATTGGCTCTGAGCAATTTTCGTCTCTTTTATAGCTTTTTAAACTGTCAGAAAAACTATTCCACTTATTCATATTATGACAGAGCTTGAAAATTTGATGCAATTAAGTAAGGAAAAAGCTGCAAGGAGAAAAGTCAAAGGAAAAATTACCAACTCAGGTTGATTAAGGATATCCAAAGAGGGAATTTTATCACAAGGCCCTTTGAAATCTCATGATGCCTAGAATTTGTTAGTAAATGGTGGATTAGATTTGCATTCCGTGGAATTTTATAGGCAAATATCACAGAGAAAATTGAGATTTTTATTTTTTTTAATCAGAAAGGAAACTATGTTTTAAAGAGAGAATTGAAGATGTACAGAGCCCATTACAGCCTGAGTCATTACTCTACCTCTCTTTAATAACACAACAAAATTACCATCCTGTTTTTAAAGTCACTTAAGGAGGATGATTTCATACTTTTCCCCAATAAAGCTTTCCTAATACTTAACAGAATTTACTGCCTGGAAAATGCCTTTCTGACTTTTTAAAACCTCTTTCACTCCATTTCAGTTTGTTTCTTTTAACCTAGGGAACAACTGAGCAGGAGTGACAGAAACATGTTGAAGGCTGTTGTTAATTTTGCCTTTTTTTCACATTTCCTTTGATCCTGGACTATTGCAGTCCTCTGAAACTACCTCAGGTGCTGTGTTTGTTACTCAATCAAAACCTACCACTTTCTGAATTTCTTCATTTATTAGATAGCACTCAGTGATCCATTCTCCTAAATACAATATTTTCTGTTACAGGACCCTGATTACTTTTAGTCTCCTTTGCATATTAAATATCTTTTAAAAATGCTTCTCCCTTAGTGTGAGCACTGGGTTCATCACTTTTAAACCATTCTACTTGCTGTTAACCACACTCATGGAAGTGTGCACTTTCATTCATCTGAGTGATTTTGAATCCATATTCTGTCATCTAACTGGCTGCCTACCATCTCCTCTTTCTCACTCCTGAGTCATCTAAAAACTTAACAGTTATGTTTTCTTTCTCATATTTCAGGTAAATATATTCTAATTTTCAAAAGTTCTGGACTTAGAATTGGTCATTAAAATTTGACTTGTGACTCACACACAACGCAGGATGTCAGGGCTCCTAGACAATAATATATAAACGCAGTGTTTGCTATCAGAAACACGTACAGTGCAGAGAATGATTACACTGCTTCACCAGTTAAACTATACTCTCTGCCTTAGCCCCCGCCGTTTCACCCTTTTAGCAGTATTTATCAGAGTAATCCTCATCCAGTTTCATTATGTCCTCGTTAGTATTGTCTGTTATCTCCTTGCTGCCAAATCAAGGGTAGAGGTTCTTTTTGTTTTACGATCCCTGTGGGCAAATGTCATTCTTGGCTGAACACATCGAGTGCCCATAAGGTTCTAATAGTTGAAGTACTTAAAACACCTGCCATCCATCAAGGTTTATGATGTGGTTACCATAGCTACCAAAACCCCATGCATTCATGATCACACGGGATCCCTCCTGTAAAAAGAGGGACAGAAACAGAGAGAGAGAGAGAGAGAAAGAGAGAGATCTGCTAGGAAATTATTCACATGAATTTAGATCTAATTAAACAATTAAAATCCATCAAGAAATTACTTCAAAACATAAGCAAAGCACAACACACCACACCCAGGGCAGTTAAGATGAGCTGAGACTAAATCAAGGCCATACTTGCCTAAAATAGATGGACAGAAATGAGTCTATATCACTTATCCTTTCTGCTGCATCGTGTCAGCAGTTGGCAAGGTATACAATTTTCAAGACTTCCTTGGAGATTGCCTTTGGAAAAAAAAAGTACTGGAGTACATAACTTTTAATCAAAAGTTACTGTGGAAAGCCTTTTTTACTTTCCACAAAGAAAGTTCGCTTTTAAATAACAATACTAGAGTTGTTGTTTATACCAATCCTTTCATCCAAGAGTCACATAATGCTATATAAATGTATTAATCCTCACAACCTTCCTGTAAAGCACAGAGGTAGCAGACTCCCCAGATGCGCATATTGAATTTTTAAAAAGCAGTTTAGTTGAATCAATAGTCTATTCAGAAAGGAAGGTTAAAAAGGCAGGCCTTGCACTGTGTCTTAATAATCAAAAGTCCACTAGGAATTTATTAGACTGTGACCAAAAGAAAAGAAAGAAAAAGACCCCTAAAGCTTTTACACATTGCGTATTTGGCTTATATTAAATGCTATCTTCTGTACTTTCAATGACATTGGAAGATAAAGGGTAATTTAATATTACTAACTTCAGCATGTTGCTATGTGAGTTTACAAATACAAACTGAACATTATCCAACCTTAAAATAACTCTCCTATAGGAAAACTGCAAAGAATCTGTGATTTCATTATGTTATTTTTTTAAAAACAAAAAATTATAAAAATTTATGTTGACTATTAGAAACATCAGAAAATATTCTGATATGTATTTGGGCAATATGTATCAGGAATCTTTAAAATGTTTATACTATTTATCCCTGTAATTTCACTTCTGAGGATTATTCTTATTTTAAGAAAGAATGTAAAATTCAAATAGAGATGTATTATAAGTTTTATAGCATTAGATATAAACTGTAAATTGGAAATATTTACAATACTTTACTAAACAAAAAGATTAAGTATTATCAATCTGACCCTTTGTACATTTATGACTTACTATATATCAACTATGTTCCAGGCACAAAAAATACAAAGACAAATAAGTCATATTTTTCTAAACATGATTCCTGCTTTATAGTGGGTTGCAGTCTAATGCAGAAAAAAAATACATGTAAATATATATGAGTTTAAGTACCCTGAGAAGGGATGTGCATGGTACAGTAGAGAGTCACAAGGGAAAGAGTGTTCAACTTTACAATGGGGAGATGAAAGTCAGGAAAGTTTTTATAAGGTTAACTTTTCATCTAAGTCTTACAATTTGAATACTGTTAGGCAAACAGATTGAAGATCACTACTATCAGTGAATAGGAGGAACAGAGAAGTGGGAGCCAGTACTCAAGGTAACAATATCATAGGACTGAATTGAGGTAGCAGCTCTGGAGAGGAGAGGAGGCAGCCATGGGTGGTACAAGAGAGGTTGTCTTTCAGGACTTTTTGACATGCTAACAGAGGTGAAGGAGTTAGAATGAAGGAGTGAAGCGGTTTCGCAAAACTTTGATTTTGGAAAGAGGAGAATGAAAGACAGAATCCAATAGAAGCAAAGCAGAGAGAAGAAAGAATAGTGGCATTCAGACATAAAGAGTTGGAACTGTCTGAGGAGCATCTAAGTGATCATAGCCAATGGAGAGCTGGGTCTGAAGGGTGTACTTGTGAGTAATGGACACACGAATTGTGGTAGGAGTCACAGGAGAGGATGAGTGCAAAGATTGAAAAGAGGAGCAAGGACTGAGTCCTAGAAGACACCAGCACACTAAGGATTGGGCAGAGAAAGTGTAGCCCTCCAAAAACTGGTTACACAGAGAGGTCAAGGTAAAACTGCAAAGAGGCCAGTGGATTGAGTGCCCCAGCTGTCAGTGGCACCAATTTCCAGAGCTCATTGTGCTACAGATTGTTGGAGGCAGAAGTCTAAATAGAATGGTTTCAAAAGTGAAAGACTGACCTCTTTCAAGAAGGAGGAGAAAGGGCAAGAATTAGAATGAGACATATGCTTAGAAAATATGTTTAAAATGAGAGATTGAGATTGAAGTGATTGAGAGGAAAAGATTAAGGCTATAAAAGAGAAAGGAGAAAAGAGGATAAATACTAAAATGAGGCAGCAGCCTTTCCTAAGCTTTTGACAAATTATATATTTTTGTGGGGAAAAATAATCTACATGACATTTTAGAGTGTTTGTTTGTTTGTCTGTGACGGAGTCTCGCTCTGTCGCCCAGGGAGGAGTGCAGTGGCGCGATCTCGGCTCACTGCAACCTCTGCCTCCCGGGTTCAAGCTATTCTCCTGCCTCAGCCTCCCGAGTAGCTGGGACTACAGGTGCCTGCAACCACACCCGGTTATTTGTGTGTGTGTGTATTTTTAGTAAAGACGGGGTTTCAGCGTGTTAGCCAGGATGGTCTCCATCTCCTGACCTGGTGATCTGCCCGCCTCGGCCTCCCAAAGTGCCAGGATTACAGGTGTGAGTCACAGCACGTGGCCCATTTTAGAGTTTTTAATAAGACAATAAGGTACTTAACATAAGTGAAAAAAGAGAAGGATATAAAATTGAATGTATTTTAGTATGTCGGCTTTGTAAAACAAAACTATTTGCTAAAGGAAAGATTGAAGGGAAATATATAAAATGGCTAATGATGGGTAATTTTGAGGAAAGCAATTTTATCTAACACTTTTCCATTTTGTTTAAATTTCCAAAATAAGCATGAATTAATTCTGTAAAAATGGGTACAAAAATACAGTTAGATAGAAGAAATACTATCTAACTGACCTCTGTAAGTGTAAAAAGGTTCTTTTTAATGCCCAAAAGAAAGATGTTGCATTGTCACAAGTGATGATACTTGAAACTACCTTGGAAATGTTTACCTTTTATTCAGGGTGATATTATACAATATGAATGAAAAACTCCACACTCTGGGAAATAATAATAAGAACTTCTATTGTTGGAAAAGAAAAATTTGGACAGTGTAACATTTACAAAATAAAAATGCTATTAACTATAAACTTTATCTGAAATAAAATGTAATACTCATGAACACGATAAATTAAAAAACTATATTGGTTTTGGGCATTTTTTCTAGAGACTTTTTAAAAATCTGCCAATACATTCATACAGTTGACATTTGGCAAACCAAGAAAATTAGAAGTCATTGATCCAGCCATATCATTACATATTGATCAGCATGTTCTATACCAGAGGTTTCTTTAAAAAAAAAAAAAAAGAAAATAATTCTTTGACAGAAACATAGCCAAACCAAGCAGTCATTTCCCAGAAGACTCTCTTGTTGAGCCTATAAATAGAAAAAGCGTCCCCAACAAAATGTAGCTGAAACAAGGTTTCTTTATATGTGATAGAGCCAATTGCAGCTCTGTTGCACTACTGAGTTATAAAAATATATTTCATTTTTATTATTTAGCTCTACAGCACAATGGGAACTTGAAACTACAATCAGCATCATTTAATTTTTCTTGAGAACATTTAAAACTGGAATAAGAAAAGCACATTCAACTTAATATTTTACCATTTGCTTGGACTGTTTTCATTTTTCTTTAGGGAAGAAAAAAGAAAAGTTATATATTTGAATAATTGCAGCAATATCTCTAAAAGTGAAATCATTGAAACAAAGCTGTTTATCATTCTGTTCAATGATTTAAGTTATGAAGCTTTCTTGATATATAGAGGCATGCCTTTTTCTATTAAGTGCTGGACTTGCATGTATGTTCCTAATCAATTTGACCATGTATCCTAAGTGGGAAAAAAATTAAAGAAATATACATATGTTTACTGTATGACTGCTGCAGGTAAAAGAACAGCTGAGGTTGAAACTGAATTAATTAGAATAGATTTAGTTTAAACATAAAGCAAGACTACAGAACATTTGTTTACAACCAGAATACTATTTAAATTTATCTTACTACTTACAGAAATCCTCCACAAAAAAATGCCCCTGACCTATTGCATTTCAATAAGTGTTACAGTACAAATTTATTAAGAATTTCAATTCCACGGTGAAGAAGTTCTGAGCTTCTTCAAATTGACATTAAAAAATATGAGAAAATCCTCCTCTTAGGACCTAGAAAGGATTTCAACTCACAGTGGAAAAGTCTGTAAATAAATGAATAATAAAGTCTGTTGTTGAATCCAGTACCCCATGTAATACTGCTTAATATAAAAAGTGGTTTCTCTATGCAATCAATAAGAAACATAAATCTTTTCAAATTGAGTGCCAGAAGTTTGTCCACATCCAAGAAATAAAAAGAAATTTATATCTTAATAACTAAATTGACTTTTATTCTTCAAAAAATATAGTAGGTTTGTAATATATAGAAAATAATCCTAGATATGATTATTTGGAACATGTATTGGATGGGGAGAAAAGAAAAACTGTTTTAAATAAATGAACAGGCCAATAATTGTTTTTTCTTACTTAAATAAAAACCTGGTATTGTCATCAACTAAATTTTTTTGGAAGCACGGTCAAGCTAGGCCTCCAGAGCAAAAATTTCTTCCTGACATAGATTGTCTTAGCAAACCAAAACCAATTTTAAAGTTTGCTTTTTCAAGGAAATGTTTAACTTCAAATATCTCTGATGATAGATATTTGAATCAGGCACATTTTAGATAATGGAAGAATACCTTCTCTCTCTGATTCCTCATTATACCTTCAGAAACTAGCTGACACTAATTCTAAATGTCTCTCTACTTCTAAAAGGCTCATGCCTTTATTTGTCCTTAAACACCACATTGATGCTTACCTTAATATAGCATTTTTTGCATGATTTTTCTTTCACCTCACCTTATTATCTACAGACACCATTAAGAGCGGCATGTTCTCACTTATAAGTGGGAGCTAAATAATGAGAACACATGGACACAAAGGGAAACAGCAGACACTGGGGCCTACTTGGGAGCAGAGGCTAGGAGGAAAGTGAGCATCAGAAAAAATACCTATCAGTCAAACACAGGTGACCAAATCATCTGTACACCAAACCCCCATGACACAAGTTTACCTATATAACAGACCTGCACATGTACCCCTGAACCTAAACTAAAAGTTAAAAGAAAAAAAAAGAATCAAACTAAGTTTGCTTTCCTTTATAAAATTTTCAAGGCAACATTCATTCTCACTTCTCCTGACCTCCTCCAGCAATAATTTTTACCACATATAGTGAGCAATATATTATACTGTCTTATACTCTTCTCTAATTGAAAAGTGAAAATTTTGTCTCCTTATAAGAGTTTTAGTTTTTTGAAAGCAAACCTTCTCTTATATGTATCTTTTAGAGGTGTATGTTTTGATGCTGCCTTTTGCAAAATGAAGCATTAAAAAATAAATGATTACAATGTACTTTAAAATACTTGCTTTTTTTTATTTTAAAGGAGGCACATAGTTACAAGAGATTTAGGAAACTTTTCAAAATTTAAAGGAGGAAAATATCCTGTAATCTTATCACACTGAGTGAACTACATTTTTAAAAAATTGTTTATCTTTTCAAACTCCTTTCCTATATATTTTTAATGTGACAATATTATATTTGCAGCTTGTTTATTTTTCACTAGATAATAGATCACGGACAAGAACACAGATTCATGTGATGGCACTTCGTTGTATAAATATGCTATTTAATGAACTCCTTCTTGGTGGATAGACTGTTTCCTATTTAGAAAAGCAAGATGTTTCCATGGGACTTTTACACATTTGTCCACTTATTTTCTTAGAATGAATCCCAAAAGTAAGCATTAAAAATGACAAAGTGTATAAATGTCTCATAAAGTACTTGGTATACAGTAAGAGCTCAATAAAGTTTAGCTGGAGTCATACAGCTGAAATTGTTGAACCCAAGTAATTTTATATTTTATTAATTGTTTTAAATTACCATCTATAAAATTTAACCAATTCATACATGCCATCAGTATACAAAGACTATTTCCTCACAACTCTGCCAACCTTCTTAATACTTGATAATCGTAAATATTACTACGGCTCACCAATATTTTTCAATTCTCTTTTCCTTTTACATACAGGGAGAATCACATTTCTCCAATCTCTTGAAGTTAGCTGTAGCCAGGTGACCTGCTTTGGCCAATATCTAAAAGCAAATATGACTTTGTCACTTCAGATCAAAGCATTTCAGAGATGGTGCACAACTCTACCCCACTCTCCCCTGCCACACCATCTAAGGAAGCCACAACTTCCAGATGATACTTCTACAAGATGAAGGATTCATTACGTTTCAACATAAAGAACAGTTGCCCCAAAGAGTTTTCCAGATCTGCAGAGAACGTCAACCCAAGAAAAAAAAATTGTACTGAGCCTGTAAAATTTAGGGATTATTTGTTGCCTCATTATAATCTAACCTATCGTCAATGATAGCATTGTCTAGAAGGTGAGAAGTTTTACCACCTGACTACTTTAATTACTAACAATGTTGCACATCCTTTTATATCAGTGTAAGGTGGGGAGGGGGACTGCCTATATATGTTTTATAGGAAAGTGCATGATTTTTAGCCATTAACTTTTAGCAATTGTATATTAACCCATTTCTCACCTCATCCAAGACCCTCAGGAATTTTGTGAAATTTGAGAACAGATAAAATATCAGGGATATCTGAGGCATCTATGACTGCTCAAAAATATAAGCACAAAATGCTACATTTTTATCTTGACATAACTATTTGAATGACACATAAGAATGCATGCATCTAGGGTGATGGTTAAGAGCAAAAGGAGAGCTATTGCAGCTTTATCATCTGGTCTTCCGCTAAGTCTCCCAGTGAGTCCCTCTGGTTCACTTCCAATCCAATCAGCAGCTAAGGGACACTTTTAAAAACATGTATCTGACTGTCATGTGTCCGCAGAATATCCAGGAGGCTGGATGGAGATTGTCCTCTTAGGCTACTAGGATTCTTAGTGTTGGGGGACCCAAGTGCAGCAGGTGAGCAGTAGGAAGTAATCACAGAGAGGCAAGGTCCACGAAAAAACTATTTCTCAGAGAAATGAGTGGGCAACCAGAGACAATAGCTCCCCTTGGGACTGAATGTAGCTGGAAGGTAGGACAGGAGACTGAAGAAGCAAGAGTCCAGGAAGTACCTACCTAAAAGGGATTGCCCATAACTTAAGAACTGAATGCAGCCTGGAGCAGCACCTACAGGAAGAGATGCTTTGATGTCAGCCTTGACCTGGGTTTCTAGCTGAGCTCCTCCATTCCCAAGGAAGCCACTTTCCTCATCTGTCAACTCAGGTGATTACATGAGGAGTCAAAGGATGGCATTTGCAAAAAATCCTGATATGATCCATAAATGCTTTTAAACTACAAAAAAGCATGCATGTATATTCTCTATAGCATTTAGCACATCATGTATTATCTAATGGCTACTCAATAATAGTTAAAACAAATTTTTCATAAGCTGAAAACTAAAAGAGACCTTACAGATTTTGAACTTCAATTATCTTATTTTACAGGTTAGAACACTGAAATGCCAAAGGAGAATAGCATGACCCCCCATAAGAATGGAGCCATCACAAATCACCCACAACACTGCAAAGGAAATGTTCCAACAGCAAGCTCTGATGTTAGTATGAGCAAATTACATAATGAGCTCAAAATGCTGTGTTTGTTAGACCATCCTTGAATACTTAAATACAATTGTACAGTTTACTGTTTTTTGAAATGAAAGCAAGAATAAAAAACTCAAACTCACTTTTGTTCTCTAGCCAGCAAGCCTTCCATGTGATTACAGAATTACTGGGCAGACTACACCGAATCATCTTATTTCAGAAGAGATGATTAATCACAAACAGCAAGAGTTAAGCCAATTACAAGTACTTCCCCCTAAGGTGATTGCCTTACCATAACTACAGATAAAATCCACCAGCTTCAGGCGCATTTTATGAGGCCAGTTCTCATCTAGGTGTGACAGAGTGAATCTTTGAACATCATCATTAAAATCAATGGGAGCTGTAACAGAGGCAGAAGTGTGGAATTGGGTGCACTAGCTCTGAAACTGCTGATGTTCATTTAAGCCCACTGCTCATTTTGCAAGCAAAAAGATTTATCCTATCCGACAGAGCAATCCAAAGAATCTCTCCAGTCCATACTACTCAGCACTAAGCTGAAAATTACAAAAAGCTGATAACTGCATGTTAAATTATGTTTTCCTGCACTTGTCTACTACCTTCTACATGAGAGTCACTTGTCTTAGCCATGTTGGGGAATAGGGATTCATTATCAAGAAATAACCCCAGTGTATCCTGAATACAGGTCCCTACAGAAGTAGAAAGCACTTTCTTGATTACAGAAAGAGCAGATAAACACACAGATTAGATTGTTTCTGAATTGCCCACTCTGAACTGCCCCAGCAGCTAAAGAAGATACCACAGTCAGTCCGAAACAGTAAGCTGCTTGCTGTTCTGTTCCTGTCTATTGGGGAATCACATTGCAGGGTTAAGATTAGCCAATAGGTGGACAGAGAATGTACTTGAAGACCAGAGACGCAGAGAAATAACAAACCATCTGGAAATAATTTTGTGTCATTTCAAAACAATGCATTTTAAAATTCTAAGGTTTTTTTTTAATTGTGAATACTATGAATAATAGTATTAATGTTTTCAGAGCTTGAGTCCTCTAAAGCAGTGATTCTCAAATGACCAGTGATGAAGAAACAGTTTTGTTGTTATTTTTCCAATCCATCAGGACAGATATCATTGTAAATTCGGTACAAATTACTAAAAAAATTATTTAAAATAGAGACATATAAAATACAAGCCCCAATTTTTGTTTCATTATTAGATTCAAGAAACATAAAATTGCTCAACCAAACTGCTACAAATGTTTCCAAACTGATTCTCACTGCACACCAGTGCTGGCTACTGAGGGTCACCCTTTGAATAGGACAGCTCTAAAGGACTTCATTGGGCTTTGGCCCGGAATGATTACAGCAAGGTTTTTTTTTAAATATTTTATTAGCCTGATTTCCCTACTAGTAGGATTTAAATCCCACATCATTAACTTTAGTTTTATTTTTCCCAGAATACACTCGAACAGCAAAGTATATTTGCTAAACATGCTTGGTGCCTCATTTATCTAGTAATTCTCTCCTTCATTCTACAAACATTTATAGAACAGTTCTTTGATGGTTCAAAGTTCTATCTTCAAAATTCTAGAAATTGAGCCCAGAAAACACAGGGTTTAGAAAGGCTTCTAACCATACTATCATTTTAAAGTTTGTTTTTGCAAGAGAAGAACCAAGTAAAATCCTAAAAATAGTCTCTATTTTTAAGTCCAATATATTGTCTAAAGTCTAAAATGCAAGCACTAACACACTGGCTTTTTATACCTGATTAACATAAGAATAAAATATAGAGGAAAAAGCTGAACTGTACCCCTACAAAATCAGATATGCTCCAGATAATTTTATTTCTACCATCAATTTATCTTCAACATAGATAATTTCAATAACTTATTTTTCCTTTAAACTTTTTAATTGTGGCCAGCTTTAACCTCCATTGAAATAGCTACCCTGGCTTCTTTTACCCTACAGATAAATCCAACCATAATCATTCCTACATCAATTGATAATGCATTTTTCCCAAAAATGCTAATGACCTCATTAATGTCCCATTCATGATTTGCATTACTTCATTTAACTTAAAACAAGCTCAGAAATATTTTTCTTTGTTGAAGTTACATATACATAGCATATATTTCATCAAGTTTAGTCACAGTTAAGTCTAATGAGATGCACAAGATTTATAAGAAGTGAAATGTGATGATCAAATCAAGGCAAATTTGCTACTTCTCTAAAGGTCCAGTAAGTCATTCAGCCTTTTGAAATGAATCAAAGCAGAAATCTTGTATGTTAAAATTTTCAGTCATGTAGATCTGGAATTTCAGAGTGTCTGCAACAAATAGGCCTAGAGAATGCTTGTTTCCCTTTCACAGGGAAAGCAGAAACTTTATATTTTCATTTATTTTTTTCTTCACACCGACACTTTATGAAAATATCTTTACCATCTCCAAACCCAGAAACATCCTTTGTATTGCATACTACCACCAACTATATCTGCCAAAATATACACACCCTCTATGTTTTTTTGTTATAAATTAAAAATTAAAAGATAGATGGGGTCACAAATTTCTCTCTGTTTTCTCTTTCGACATTGTAGTTCCATTTTTAGTTTTCTTATTATGTATGGGCTAATGAGGAATATTTCCTACTGCTTCTCCAGATCTAATTAATCTACATCATCTTTTTATTTACTGGTTTTTATTAATTAGACTTTTCCTGGCATCTTCTGTTGAGAAAACTTGACACAGCTCAGGTCAAAATTAAAATTCCAGATTGAGTACCACTTTTACTGAAACAAACGAATAATACCTGTGGCTGATTATATTAGTTCATCCTCACGTTGCTGCAAAGATACTACCTGACTGGGCAATTTCTAATGGAAACAGGTTTAATGGACTCACAGTTCCACATGGCTGGGGAGGCCCTGCAATCATGGCAGAAGACAAAGGAAAAATAAAGACACGTCTTACATAGCAGCAGGCACGAGAGCTTGTGCAGGGGAAATCCCGTTTATAAAACCATCAGATCTCGTGAGACTTACTCACTATCACGAGAACAGCACTGGAAAGACCCGCCCCCATGATTAAATTACCTCCTACTGGATCCCTCCCACAACATGTGGGAATTATTACAATTCAAGGTGAGATTTTGATCGGGACACAGAGTCAAACCATATCACTGATATTTATTAGAGAATAACTGAATGCTTCCCAAAAAACCTAAACTGTATTCAGGTAGAGAGCTGCTCCTAGAATAAAACGATATTATTGACAATAATTATGATTGCTTATATGAGACAGATATTCTTTCAAGACAGTTGTGTTTCAAGGGGGATATTTTTTCTCGTGTTTTATGACTCAGAATTTTGTGTCTATTAACACTTACGTTGTAGTCATTTGTCTTTGTCTCCTTGTATTCAGCCATGTGTTAGCAGACATCCTTTTTATTGTATACTATATAGTGAATTTTAGGAAAAGAAAAACACATAGTAAACATTTCTTATGGAAAAAAAAACTAAATTTGCTCTTATGGTTAGCTTAGAGCAGACAATCTCAAATGTGTTTATTCCGATAGTGCTATGTGATTCTTAGCCACTTGCACAAACCATCATCATATCTCCAATGGGGAGTTCTCATTATGCCAAGGTAGTAAAGTTTACAGGAATTCTAGGGCACTCATTTTTTCTCCCCTTCATTGAAAAAATACACCAAATCAGTTTTTTGTCTCGTAAGTTAATAGCTATTTGAAATGGCATGGCATGGCATTGGAAATAACACTGATCTTTCAATGTGACCATAGACACATTGCCTGCTTTGAAAAGTTAGTAAATAAATTTGCTATCCCTCCAGGATCCAACATATACTTTAAAACAGTTACATTTTATATATTTTGTTTATAAATTCAAGGAAACAACATATACAAATACATTAATTTATCTATGATAAAGAAATAAATACCCCTATCTGAATATTTAGCATAGCAAAGCCAAAATATCAGGGCTACCAGCAATCAGAGATCTTTTCCTCATTGGCTATTATCTTTTGCAATAAAATATCTTATTATGATTTTCATATTCCCTTCACATTTTCAGGAAAAAAAAGTTTGACATCATATTTTCTCCTGTTCTTAATTTTACATATAAAAATGCAAATCCTTCAGAGAAATTAAGAACATTATTCCAGAATGTCAAGAAGTATGTCACCACCATATCTCTGGCCTTATTTTTGTGCTCTCTGTCTGTACCCAATAGGCCACCAGGCACTTTCCACAGCTACTCTTTTAGCTTTTTGAAGGTGTTCATCAGAGCATCATCTATACAGTCCACATGGACCCACAAAACTCTTCCCATGTGCAGAGCAAAATTATATTCCAGGGCCTTAGAAATATATTCAGGAGCCTAGAATTACTTTCTAAGCTTCACCAGTGTGATCACAGACTGAGAAAATACCAATTCTCCCCAGGCAAAATCCTAATCCTCTTTTTGAGGAAATCCTATTCATTTTTATATCAATCCTTAAATTGTCAACTCTAAAACCACTGTCATGTCCTAATGCAACCTAGCAGTCGTTCTGATGTGAAAATTAGCCATGATGCAAATAAACAATTAAGAAGTAAATAAAACTAGAAATAAAAATGGAAAATTAAGCAGAGCATGATTTAATTAGCTTTACGCTTCTTTGGGTCTTTGGTGTTCACTATTATTTCATGAACATCTGGAATATTAAAATAAAAGTTATAGTGTACATGAAAGCATTTTATACATTGTAAAATCATCACCTAGGGCTTTGTAAAGTGCCTTGGACTTACTTGAACTAATAAATTTGTGGTTTATAAAAGAAGGGAAAAGTAAAACTAAGATTTCTTTTATCTTTTACATATTACAATCAAAAGCTGCAATAAAGCATCTATTCCTAGTCATCACAGAGCCTCATTTTTAAGTTAGCCACCATTTTGTTTAAACACAAAAATAGGAATATCTAGAGTACCATTTTGGCAATCTACTTTGAGATCAAAGTATGAGGAAGCTCAGGCCAGCCTTAGGAGCCAGTCCAAGATTTCACTGTTATATAATAGATCCAATATAAATTTTACTTGCCAAGCTTAATATTAATTTCTGGGCCTATTTCAGATAAAAATTATCAAAGGTATTGAGTGAAAAAGGCATTGTCAAAAGTATTAGGTTAAAAAAGGCCACCAAAATTCAACTGTCATGCAGGTGGGAAGTAATTTTCCTGATAGCGATATAACCAGGCAACAATTTTTTCTGTGGAATATTTACATATTTTTTAACATTGCAGATATTGGTCACATGATTTTTTCCTTCTCAGAGATACTTGTTGCTGTTTTATATAACTCAAGAACCCAAAAATGTATTATTCTAGTGAATGAAGTACAGGTTTACAATGTGAGTTTTAGAAACTAAGATCTTTTTATATCACTGAAGTTTTGTGGAGTAACTTAAAAATTCTTTTTAGGATACTCAACAAATGCACTTTATTTGCCAATCATGAGATTTGTTGTACATCAAAGAACATGACTGGATATATGGAATATTAGAAGCCAAGTATGAATTCGCGAGCCATCGTTAATACAATTTTACTATTCTTGCTCCTCTGTTCTTACATGGTTATCAGATAAAGAGCAGAAGTAAGCAGACCCCATTCAGCCACAGTTTCATTTTAGTTCACTATAATTCTTACAAGGCCCAGTTCTATTTAATTGCTACTTCTAATTATAAAGTAAACCCTGGGTTGACTCTTATTTTCCCTATTACCAAGGCTCTGTCTAAAATTGTTTTTTTTTTTCCTCTTTTAAGTGCAATTTACCTTTAAACTTTCATTTTTAAATTAAAAAAAAATAATGCCCTGGAAACCTCTTTAAGACTGCATATATGACATATTGTAGTCAAGCTCAAATGCTATCTATATAGCTACCTCACTTTTTCTACAATGGAGAGCTTACTCAGAAGATCACTCTTTGTCTTCACTGATTAACCAAATGCCAATGGCCCAGCAGCTTTCTTTAACAGTTGAAGAACAAGGAAGTTCATGCATCACAAGAATGCTAAGATAACCAAATCTTGAACAAGTGAGACATCCAGGGCTGCTGCTTCTTCTCAAACATGCTGGTGTCTGCAATACTGTGCCCTAGTCTCAGAAAATTAGCAGATTTACAAATGTTAATAAAATGAAGGTGGATGGAGATGTGAAGGAACAGTCTTATTACCTAGGTTGGTATCTCTCCGCTGCTACATTCATAAAATGAATACCAATGCTTCAGTAGATGTGGAGAACAGATCAGCCTACCTCCCACCCATGTACCAAAGGTCCCTGCGGGGATACTTGCATTTGGAGGCTATAGGAAAATCCACTTTAGAATTCCACAGAATTGAATTTAAATCCTGTCTCTGAGATGAAACTTCTCTCATCCTCAGTAAAATGTCACTAGTGTGTCTACTTTACAGTGTTGTGAGGATTAAATGAAATAAAGCATCTACAAGCACTTAATACATGGCAGATGTTTGATTATATATATATATATATATATATATATATATATATATATATATATATATATTTCAAAGTGCAAAAGACTCAGCTTACTTCCAGGAGATAGCTATGATGTAGGTCTACAGGAGCGCACAGCAGGACACTTGAGCCTTATAGGATAACTTGGCTTGTCCTATCTGCAAGAACTCTCACCACAGAAGTGTAGAGAACTTAATTGGAAGAAAGCAAAATCAAGCAATTAATATTTTCTGTAATAGACATTTCATAATCATAGTGTTGCATAAAAATCCATAGTGCACATTTCAGCGAAAGAGCTACAACACTCCCAGCATCTCTCAAAATTTTACAAAACAATCAGCTGCCTTGCAGAAGCTATCTGCTGGCATTATAGCTCTGGAAAACTGATTCAACCTTCAAGCTCTGAGTTCATGGGTCTTTGAGGCTGCCCAAAAGATACCCATAAAGTCCAGACCTATCACCTAGAAGCCACACATTGCTTCCAAGCACACAGAGAGGAAAGCCTCAGCATCCCGTTTCATGCCACCTGCCATTTCGGCTCTCCTCAGTAATTCCTAGTGGCTCTTCCTTCTCCGAGGCAGACATGAAAGCAGATTGGAACAGACTCCAAAACTCAGGCTGCCTTTCCTGCTACTCACCCTATAGCTGCATGGGCAATACTGACAGCACACAGAGCCAGGCCCACTGTGGACCCTTAGTAAGTGTTTGTTGAATGAATATGCATCACGGTGGTCATTGGGACCAGACCCAACCAGTTGTGAATCATGGCCTAGCCCTTTACCTTCTTGGAATTCTGTCAAAGAGAGACTCTAATCCAATTAGGGAATCAATACCCAGAAAATATCAGAGCTGTTACAGCCATGCTTTTTTGTTCTTATTATTCTGTGACATTTTAATACCTTCAAACGACATAAAAACAATAGTAATATAATGAAGCAACCTAAAATTAATGAACAGATTGATGTGACTTAATAAATGATACACAGACTCAGAAAGTAACATAAAATAAATTCGGAAAGTTACTAGTGTTTTTTTTTTTCAAACCATAAACTAACATAAGGGAGACAGAAAGACCTTTAGAAAGGACAAGTACATTTAATATAATTTTGAAATTCTTGTTTCTGAGACACTTATTTTTAAAATAATAAAGTTTAAGTTAAATATAACAACATCAAAACAACTTGCAAAGTTAGTGTCTTAATTGGGGCAAAATCAAATTTAGTTATCTTGGACCCTGATGGGCTCCTCCGTCTCTCCCTGTAGGGAGCACAGAATGAAATGGTGCATGCCAAATCAATCTCCCTAATTGCTTTGGTCACTATCACATGCAATTTGGACACATCTTGCTAAATAACATCCAAAGGCCAAAAAAGATATGACATTGAGAGTAATCCAGCTCCATGGCTTCCCTCATGCTAGTGTGATTTGAAGGACAATGGTCTGTTTCGTCAACTCTGAAGGTGTGGAAGTACCACAATGTAGGAAAATATTCACAAACGTCCAGAATGTCAGAGCCGGAAGTGACCTTGGAATATTACTAATCCTATCTTCATTCTGTAGACAAGGAAAGTATTCAGTTTTACTCCCTCTCTGTGCACCTGTAACAAGAGATTTTTATCTTTGTAGCAGTAATCATTGACCTGCTATGGTATCTATATGTAACATAGATAGTGTAAATTGATGAGATATGCATATATCTATATGCTGCATACTATAGTATCATCGACACATCTTTTCTATCCTTTTCTCGGCCTCTCCCTGACTCACACACACAATCAACCATTGTTTGAAATTTTTGACCATTTTATTCATGTATGTGGTTCTGAACTTGTCAGGAACTCAATTTGACTTCATTGAATTAAATTACAGAAGAAGGTTCAAATAATCCCCATATTTTGAATTCACAGCAGTCTCAGTGATTCTTTCGAATTCTGCTTGGACTCTTCATTTGGTCTGTGTCCAGGCCCTAATTTTGGGGGTGCGGATCTTGTAGCGCTGCCTGGAGAGCATGTATAGGAATTTTGGCTGCCTCCACCGGGCTGGCTCAGTAGCATCTGCAGAGCAACACTGCCATCTGCTGTGAAAACCTTCAAAGCAACTAAGAAAAATCTGCCAAACACTGATTTGTATTTGCGATGCCTTTGTTCTTCAAAACGCAAATCAAACTGCAATTAATCAACGTTTATTAAAATTAATTCTAACACATTCATTAACTTTTAAGGGAATTACAAGGCACGTGGCATCACTGAATGTCTACATGAAGTGTTCTCTCCAGGAGACAGAACAACACTAATAGGATGGGAGGCTCTGAATCGGGGGACCCAAGATGCTAAAGCGCTAGGTTGCTTACACACACAAAAAAAATTCTTAACGTGCCTTTTAGTGAGGTGTGTAGAAGCCTTAGATTGAAACCACACATTACCTGTCAAATGTGCTTATCCTACCGCAGTCTACAAATCGTGTTGCCCCAACCTTTCCCAGAAAGGACATTCTGACCAAGACGCATAATTTAAGTGATCTGAGATGTCATTGAAGAATGTGTCCTCAGAGAGCAGGAAGTCAGAGTATTGATGAGTTATGTCTCTATGCCACCTTAATCTTATCTATTGAAAAACTCAAAAAGATACGTTTAAACGTCCTCAAGGAGTTAACCTCCATAGTATCTTCAATACCTTATAAAACAAGAACCAAACTTCAGGATTTCTCCCTCCTATATAAGGAAATCTATTTTTGTAGACCTACAGAAAGATTTTTATTTCTCTTTCTTTTAGGAAGTAAAATATTCAAAGATCTGAACATAAAAGAATAAACTGCTGGAGGTGGACAGAGCAGGAATAGGAAGAACAAGGTGGCTTTTCATTGGTTTGGGTTTTTTGATTTGGCTTTTGCAGGCATCAGAAGTTATACAACAGCGCCACTCTAGGGCTTTATGTGGAATAACAGGCAGCGTTCGCCAGTGCTATTTTCTTCTTGGGCCCTGTTTTTTCACAGAATATTATGCAAAAAGTTAACCTGGCACAAAATGTAGCAGCATTTTTGTTTTCACCTGTTTCATTTCGTTTTGAAGGTGCAAAGAGTCTTAAAACTTTATGCTGAGATATCAGAACTTACTATTTTATGAGTCAGAAGATGCTGACTAATCTTTTAGATGGCTTGAGTCAACTACTAATTATGTGTGCTCTTGGGCAAATTCCAGTAGCCTCCCTGGGTCTCACTTTCCCATCTGTAAAATGAATGGGTTGGTCTATAAATCTGCACCATTCAATATGGTGGCCAGTTGTCACAAGTTGCTATTTAAAATTAAATTTAGTTTAATTAAAAGTAAATAAGATTAAAAATTCACTTCCTCAGTTATATTAGCCAAATTTCAAATGCTCAATAGCCCCATGTAGCTAGTGGCTACTGAACTGGACAGCACAGATGCAGAATGTTTGCATCATAGCAGAAAGTTCTATTAGCACTGACATAGCTAAAATTTATGTTTCTTACCAAACTGAATTTACATGCTTATACCAAAAATATTTTAGGAACCAATTTAATCAAGGTGAACCATACAAACAACAACCATTTGAAAAGCAAAATAGAAGAGAAAGAAAGGGACAGAGAAAGAAAATGAGGTCCAGATTCCAGGCTTCCTGCCACATTCATTACTGCTATCTGATAAGCCACTCATGTTTTAATTCCAGTCTTCAAACCAACTCATCTGCAAAATGAGGAGAAATCAAGTGCCTGCATCCATAGTCAGCATTACAAACAAGGGAGGACCTAATGTGCAGCATAAATTTTCAAAGGGGACATCTCAGGAAAGAATTTGCTGACAATTCTGTGTTCGCTTGTGGAGCACAGCCCACACAGCAGGCTGCCTGGTTTTCTTAAGGACATTTAGGTGATTTTCTACCATTATACATAGAAGGTGCTTCTAACACATCAGTTATGGCTTGGATATTACAGTAACTCCAGCACAACCTGACCTGTCGCAGTGGACCTTGGCCACACTCCAGAGAGCAATGTGCTTGGGAACTGGCAGCACGCTGCAGAGGTCTTGCTGATGGTGTGTGCATATCCTCTGATTGGAACCACAGCATGACACCTGGGCTGCACACGGCTGCACCACAAAACCACTCTGCTGGTTCTAAAGCCACAAATGCTTGGCTCCTTCCAGCACATGCCTCTGCCAAGGATCTGGCCAGCAGTCAAATCTGCGGCAGTTAGCTTTCTCCAATGTTCCCTTCTGTAAGAGCAGGAGGTGTGGGAAGGGGGCAATCATGACAGTGACATCATTAAAATCTGGGGCTCATTCCTCAGTATTCGATACTCTGAGGGAAGCCTGATGCAGATGTCTAGATCATTTCTAGTTACCTGTTGAAAATGTCATAAGGGCTCCCATGGCTTTGAGCATGATGGCCTTAAAAGGGTATGTTGAAGTCAATATTATTTACTTTCTCCATGTCATCAAGCCATCATCTGTAAGGTGATACAGAATGCAGAGGAGATCAACAAGGTGTTGTCCCCCTCACCCTTTCCCCAGGAAATCCCTCTTAACTTTTCCGGATTACAGCCAGGCTGAGCACAATGTTTCCCGCAACCCAGCAGGGCTGGATTTGGCAAGAGTGACTAATGGGACCTGGCCAGGAGTCAGGTGAGGTGAGTGGAGCAGGGGCAGGTGGGAGGGTAGAAGATGTGCATTAAGGACCCTTGAGGCACAACATCAATAACATTGGGTAGAACAACCCTGTGAGGAAGAATCAAAGGGAGTAGGGGAGAGAGAGCCTTTTTCTGAGCAAAAGGAGCTGGCAAATTGTATTTGCATACACAAGGAGAACACAGACATGATCAGACTCCATGCATAATAGCTGCCTTACACTGGGATCTGCTCTGGGTGGAATGTGCCCGTCAGTCTCCTTGGACACACAAACACAGCAGAGAGTGATTGGGTCTATCTGCATTGTCTCAGACACAAAAGACAACGATAACCATTTAGACCTTTAAAACTCCTTTCCTTCTGACATTTTCTTTTTGGCATAGCTGAAAAAAAACAAACCACGGAATCTGACAGCAAGTTGTTTGGAAATTTGATGCTCATCCCTTGTGTTACCCAGATATTCTAAATTATCCTCATAGCAAAAATGACAAGAGTATCCTGTTCCCTGTAGAAGACATGGGGAGAGCAGAGAATTGCAAAGGAAAACTACATAAATGAACTCAGCAGACTGTTAGGGTTCACAGGGCCAGGGAAAGGATGAATGCATTCCTTAAGGTTGGAGATCTAGTGGATGGGAACTCCTGTTCCATCCAGAGCTGTGCTTTCTTCACAGCCACAAGCTGATCTGCCTTTTCTTGCCCCACAAAGGAAGGGACATGACCATAGTACTAGGATAGATAGAAACACAGCTGTGTCACAGATTCTGAAGCAAAGGCTATCCACAGCATTTTTTCATATCCTGTCATCAAGGACTCAGTGTTTCAGTTTTTTAAAAACAAACGAAATAAAAAGGTGGAGTGTGAGTTAGGAGAATGCATACAGAGACAAACACACACAAAATTATACACACTCTTAATGACAAGAATGATGCCCTGCCTCAGAGGCAATATAAGTATGGGGATTAAAGCAGTGCAAGTCATGGCCAAGGATCAAGAGATAAAGGCCTAATGACCACATTTGTCCAGACCACAAATGAATTTCCCTGCCGTGCTTGGGCCTTGACATAGTGGGCAACACAGACATCGCACTGCTGAAAGGTCATAAAAATAGCCTTTGCCCATGGCTCTGCTTTCTAATTCAGTGACAGGGAGATAATACAGGGATGTTTCAAAAGGCTTCATCACTCACTTCTACAACCACTTTTGACAGAAAATTCTCCTGCAGCCCACCAGATCATTGAACTCGATGAGATTAAAACAGAACAGATAAACAGTGATTTTATATAGCCATCAATCACCTGCTTTTGCTGCTCTTTTTTTTTTTTTTTTTTTGGTTGCTATGGCCATCATATTCCTTTCTTCAGCTCTCTTCCTGTTTTCCTTTCAAAAATGCTAAAATTGCATTAGAAAACACCCTTAACACTATTCTCTTCAAGGAAAAAACAAGTCAGTCTTATGCTATTAAAAAGTACCTGCTGGAATTAGAAGATTGGGAGGGAAATAGTCTTTTGTTTCTAACACCATCTCCTTTGTCTCTAGGTCTGCCCCTACTCAGTTGAGTATCCACCTAGAATAAATACCATTATTAGGGGATGATATTCGGCTACATGTTATCTCCACCAAAAATCATCTAAAGTTGAGTTAAGCGTGAGAAGATGGATAATGTGGGGCAAGACGATTTAGTGCAGGAGGGATTCAAATGCAGTATTCAAGCAGACATCTTTCAACCTCTCTGGTTTAAATTGATTAGCAGTATGAGAAGGGCATTTTAAACAATGGGATTGGGGAAAGTCGGTCCTGATTCCTTAAACACACAGAGAGTCTGGGTTTGGGATGATGTACCAACAGTGAACACCTTATTATTTACCAAAAGTAAACAATAATAAAGGTATTCGTCACCCTGGCTTCTATCAGATTCACTCATAAGGAGAAAACTTTCAAATAAAGATCCCTGGCTTCTCCCCTAGATCACTGAATGAGATGGCTCAAGACCTCCATTACAGAACCCTGTTCTAGATGGTAAAAAGAAAAGGGCATTTATCTTCCTCAAATAAATCTCTAGGCTTGTGACAGTGACAATCTGGAATTGTTACTATTCAAGTAAAGATCATTTTGGCAAAATGCTATGTTTCTCTTCAAAATATATTTAGGTGCTAATCTGACATTTTTCTGCCTGTCCCCTTTTTATACTCTTCTTTATCCAAGTGTAACACACACTCTTTGATGTAGTCCTTTCAAGTCAATCTTCATCTCTCAGCTGTTTATCCCTTCATTTTCCTTAGGCAGATAATCAGAGTACCTGTCAATCCTCCAGGCGGGAAATCATTCTGAAGAAACACTGAAAATAGAGGTGTTGTCTACTCTCCTGAGGGATGTGAAGAACAAAGGTTAAACAATGCCTCCCCCGCCGTCAAAGTGTCTTGTGCTCATCTATCTCCAGTACAAGTACTGTGGCTTTGAATGGCATTTGTGGGGACTTAAATTGTGGAGTAGCACTGCCCTTGATATAGCAAATCCAGAGGCCTTTTTTTTTTTTTTTTTTTAACCACAGGGAATCTGTGCTTGTTCACATCTTTAAAGCTCTCCTCTTCGATATGTAGGTGAATAATTGGGATTAATGTAATCTTCTTCATCAGAATACATACCAGCAGAGATTTACACATCTGTTTCATTCTACAAATAATGTTATTTACGTGCACGTCTTTCTATTTCTGCGGCTCGTTTCTTTATGAATAAATGTGGTGGGCAGGACTGGAGTGGGTGGTTGAAAGGGTACAGAAAAGCTGAGAAGTACTTAATGGAATGTATTACTTTCCGATTTGAGATGTCCTTTGTGGGTTTAAAATCTGACTTTACATCTGCAGGGAGGATACAGGTGCATTAACTGTGCCTATGCAAACCGCTGAACCTTGGCTTTTCTTCCTGCTGGATCTTCCCGAGGAGCTAAAGTAGGGCAGCAGCCCAGTAGGAATAGTGTAAATTCCCCTCCATTGCAAGTGGCTGCTATACCCTTGCCATTTTCCTCTGCTTTTGGGGGCCATGTAAAGACAAAGCATCCTGTCACTGTCAGTTGTTTCATCCCACAATATGGGGCCACGTATTCTATGGGGGCCCAGTCATTTGTCTGGATGCATCCGCAGAGGAGGCAGCTGTGCATTGTCTGCAACTAACTAGAGAATCGGAGTGGGAAAATTCAGCTGGGAGCTCGCTGTGAAATGCCAAGAACCCTCTTGAGCTCATTATTTGGGTAAGAACCAGAGTGAAGTGAATAAAGACCGAGGAAAACGTAGCCTATGTCTTTATGGTGCCTTGCCTGTACCTTGTCCTCCATAGGTGGCATGCTTTAAAAATTGACACCGCAGTACCATTTCTCTCTTCTTCTTTTAGAATTAGGTTACAAGGGTTTTTATAGTTGTTTTTTTTCCTCCTGAATAGAAGTTGTTCAGAGAACTTACATTAAAGCAATATTCTCCATTCTTTTCTTGAGTTTACTGGTCTTGTTCTAATAAAAATTATTTCGTGTAAATATTATAATAATAGTTGTGTTAATAACACAAAACATAAATCCAGCACTTTCAAATGGTAATCTGTTTCTTCACCCATTTCTTAGCAAAGATAATTTTCCCAATCAGTGTTATGGAACCGTATTAGTCTCTTCTCACGCTACTAATGATAATTAAATGAAAATAAAGCTAGATTTCTCTCTTTCCCTTTGACAGACTTGTTTATGTCTCAATGAAGATTTGGGTAACCACACAATTATTGATCCCATACTATGAGCCAAGCATGATAGTAGACAACAAAAATTTGCCATATTGATGTTCGTAACTACATAAGACAAGAATAATCACTCCAACTCCATAGATGAAAAAAATAGAAGCTCCTAGAATTTTAATTAATTGTTTAAGGTCTCAGAGCTTAAGTGGTGGTTCTGGAAATTGAGCTTAAGTGGTGGTTCTGGAAATTAAACCCAGGACATCTTATCTCAATGTATGTAGTACATCTACCACACAATAAAATATTGCTGAAATAGGAACAAGAACCCTTAGGAAGTTTTTTCCTAATGTACACCCACCTAGATTTTCTTTTCCTATTCATCTCACACAGATGGGCAGACTGAAAATAAATGACTAGCTGTCTCAAATATTCTTCACTCAAAAAATTCAGAGAAAAGATAAATAGATCAATATTTCCCAAAAAAGAATATACTCTCTGCCATCAAGAAAAAGTGTGTGTGTGTATTACATAGTCACATGATGATATGCACTGATTATATTCTTCCTCTCTGTGTCCCTGAGGTGCCCAACCAAGAACCATCCAGGCACTGTTATTTTCCATTCCTTTCCTTAAATTCCAGTGGAAGAGCAAAAACTTATTGCAAAGTGCTAGAAGTGGGTAGATTGCACACAATTCAACCCTAAGAGTCTGTCTAATCAATGTACTGGCCTGCATTTTTCACATTTTATGGGACAGCAGGGAAAATTGTTGAGAAGAGCCAATTTGCAGCTGTGTTCTTAATTACGCCTTCTATGTGAAAGGAGGCGAATTTTTCAGCAAGAGACTGCAGCTGCATTCATAAGGCAGGAAGACCCAGTGTTTATAGCAGATAATTGAATGCCATAGAGGTCCCAGATCCCAAGGTGGACTAAGCAGCCACCTCTCTGTGTGGCCCGGTCAAACTATTTGACTCCTTTGTGCCTCAGTCAAGCCTGCTGCCAACGTGTATTCAAACAGCAGGAACTGACTGCAAAACAGATGCTATCTGTGGGTAAAACTGTCTGCGATAATTATATTTCCCCAAGTCACTGTCACTCGCAAAATAGTAGAGTTCAAAAGTTTCTTCCTGCATTGAGTATCTTTGAGCTGTTAGCACTGCTGAGTCAGAATTGTCTCTTTCACACATGGGCAGTTTACTCTGGGCCATCTTGGAAAGAAGAGTATAAAATCCTGATGTATCTATACTGATTAGTACCAGGTGTAGTGAGAAAGAATAGCAGTCCACCAACCTAGGTGTGCAAGAAATGTAATTTTATTTTTCTATAACTGAGCTCAATTGCTGTTAAAATTCCTGATTCCCCAAAGAAGAGAGAATAGAGTTCAGAGATCATCCCCATTTTCCTTGTGATTGCATTTAATTAGCAGACTATATATATTGTTTGCAACAAGGCAGTGGAATAGTCATTGTGTCTGAGTCATCATCTGTACTCTTTGGCATCCCCTAAGACATTGTCCTCCCTATCATGTATCATGATGGTCACTGTTGAGTTGTCCCTTGTTCCCTTATGCATTGTTCTGTGCATCAGTTATTGCCATTCCCTCTCTGAAGTAAGATAATAATGTTACTATTATAGGCATTTCAATGGGGCTGTCTGAGGCTATTCACCTCTCCCGGGCTTCTGTTGGGAACAAGAAAATTATTCTATGCCTCATCATCCTGAGGCACGAGGGAAAACTCTTCTCAGGGCTCCCCAGTCCCATCTGAACTTCTGTTCTCTACTCTACCCTGGGTTTAAGGAGGGATGGCAAAGGGCACAGAGCTCATCTTCCATAAACACACTGAATCTAATCTCTTTTTACTTACTCTCCAATTCTCTGACTCTCTCTTTAATTCAGGAAAACTTCATCCGGGCTTAGGAGGAAGAAAACTTTCAACTGGATTTCTTTTTACACTCAGAGCACTTTCAGAGCCTGAGGACTCTCTGTTTCTGCTATAACGTTTCTAACAGAGGTAATGGGTGGTTCCTAGTTCAGATAAGAAGAAACAAGGAACAACAGAAACCATATGAGTTAATATTTCAAACACTCTCATTTCAATGTCAAGTTTATTGGTTTTACCCTGAGTGTATTCTTGGAGAGTTTGTTTATTTCTTTCCTTTCTCAATCCCGCCAAGTGAAAAGATTCATGTTGATGTCTGCCTGACTTCCATCCATCCAACCACTGGAAAGGCACACTAATTATGTAAATATTGACATTGTTCCATACTGCTTAGTAAATAGCAGTTGTTCAAGACCACAAGTATTACCACTGCTATTCTGTCAGCCCCTGAACCTCCTAATGACTAAAACCTGGCACATTGCAGGGCTACAGGATTCTTCCCCCACACTATATCCAGCATCCACTCTTATTGGCCTGTCCCTGTGCCTTACCAGTTGTTGAACATTCTGAATGTCACTCCTGGCTATGTTCTTGAGACTTAGAGGGAGAAAAATCTAGGTGAGAGCTCCTGAGATACTCCCAGCACTTGAAAGTGCATACCCATCCTTCAGAAAGGGTTGCCTGGGCCCATGAGCTACGGCTGAGCTTCCAGAAAGGAACCACTAATGATAAAACTCGAGAATCCCATTTAGATATTGTGTTGAATCCTAATTTAAAAGACACTGGAGGTGATATGTAGAACAACCTAAGTTTATCTTGAGCTCCCACTGGCTACTGGTTCTACAGATTTGAGCAAAAGCTTAATCTCCTTGTGTCCTAATCTCTGTAAGGGGTGGTAATAACTCCTGTATCTTAGGAATCAAATGTATAAATATCAAAAGGATGTAATAGCTGCCTACCTGCCTTCCTTCCTAACTGCCTTCCTTCCTTCTTTTCTTCCTGAATATTTCAATTAAAAAACAACAGGTGGGCCACAACAGGGGTGCAGTGGGAGACAAGAGGGGTGGAACAGGGAGGGATAGGCACAGCTCTATTCGTCTACTCAGAGGGTCAGAGACTAAGTGGTTATGTAGGCAATCATGTGGCCTGGCAGAGGGTGGATGAATGCTCCAGTAGGTGAATGCAGAGGCCCACTAAGAGGTTTGGAGCCTAAGTGGAGTAAGAAATATATTTATACAGCTGCAGTGAGTCGGGGGAGCAATTATATATATAGGAGGATTGACCAAATAAAAAACACACGTTGAGAATAATGAAAGCCAAGTTTTTCACTGTTGGAGAAAAGAGTTACGAATGTAGAAAGAGGCAAAGCTAGAATATATGTTGTAAAGTTAGATTAGAATTGGAAGTGTTAGTATAATTCAGTTTCCAATTATATTGATAGATACAAAAGTAAATATACCTGTAAATACGTGTATATATATTCTCTCTCACACACAAATACACATTTCATGGCTCCACACATTGAGAAGGTCTGTGAGCAGGGACACTTCAAAAGCAATGAGTATACCTGGCACCGGGTCTTGGTTTCTAAATATCATTCTCCACTAAAAGGAAACAGTAACCCTTGGAGAAATAGCTGAAGCAGTGAAAGTATGAGATAATTCTGAAATCCTATGTCAAAAAATACAAAAGTGCTAAAACTGACAGAGATGTTAAAAGAACAAAGAAGCCAACTTGAAGGAGTTTCACTGGCCAAATCTGGGTCAGTTTGAGTTTGACATCAAAATAGATAATGATAGAAATAGATTATAACCCATTAAATAACAGGAATCCAGGAGACTCTACTAATGTAAGTAAATAAATAATTAATTAATAAGAGGAAGCTTTTTATTACAATAGAATATCAACTAATAAACATAGAAGAAATAATAGAATTAGAAAAATCATTATTTAACAACTGTTAAACATCAATGAATGCTAAACTACTTGGTGAAATTTAATAAGGAATGGGATATTTACAAAGTCTCACAGTACCACAAAATACATAGTAATTATAAAGAAAAAAAGAGCAACTCTTCAGTGGATAAACTGGACAAACATCACTTCAGTGGTGTTTTGGGAATGATTAAATTTAACATCATTAATATAGGAGCAAACAGAAGTTTTGTCACACTTGACAGGATCCAATGAAAATAACACAGAGGTACTTCTGCAATATTTCTACCAAAAATACATAAACTGAATTTTTTCATAAATATCAGAAAAGTCCAAATGAGGGATAGTCTTAAAAACAGCCTGCATGTAATCTTGCAAAGTATCAAGGTCAGGGACAAACTGAGGATTCCAGATGAAAGGAGGCAAAAAATCATGACAACTAAATGTAATACAGGGTTCTAAACTAGATCCTCTGTCATAAAGGACATTATTAGGACAATTGGCAAAACCGTGAATGGGGTCAGAGGATCAGATGGGAGTAATATACCAATGTCAATTTCCTGACTTTGATGATTGTATCATGGTTGTGTAGTAGAATATCCTTTTTGTAGGGAATACAAACTAAAGTGTATTAGAATGGTGAAGCATTGTGTCAGCAACTTACTCTAAAAAGGTTCAGGGAAAAAAAAAGTTCTTTGATTGGTGCAGATTTTATTATAAGCTTAAAATTGTTTTAAAAGATTTTTAAAGTAAAAGAGAAGAGAAAGGCGAAAATACAATATATGTAGCTTAGAGAAATTCCCTTTGCATAGAAAAAGGATTGGAAGAAACTACAGCTTGCTGAAGCATGTAGGAATGCAGCATGTATGGCCAAACACATGTATGTGATGAGTCATCTGTCTCATTGCCCTGTCAGGATGAAAGAACCTCTTGAGAATATTGCCTTACCCAAACACACATTTTAAAGAAAAAGAGATCTGAGGAACAGAGGACCAAAAAATAGTTGTTCATAGTGCTTATAGGATGCACCATTGTATTATTTTAAATGGTTCTAATGGACTTGACCAGCATTGTGTAATAGAAACCAAAAGCATGGAAAAGTATCTTTAGTCCAGGTGTGGTGGCTCCTGCCTGTAATTCCAGCACTTTGGGAGGCCAAGACGGGTGGATCACTGGAGGTCAGGAGTTTGAGACCAGCCTGGCCAACATGGTGAAACCCTGTCTCTACTAAAAATACAAAAATAAAAATAAAAATAATTAACTGGGCATGGTGGTACACACCCGTAATGCCAGCTACTTGGGAGGCTGAGGCAAGAGAATCACTTGAACCTAGGAAGCAGAGGTTGCAGTGAGCCAAGATCACGCCATTGCACTCCAGCCTGGGCAACAGAATGAGATTCTGTTTAAAAAACAAACAACAAAAAGAGTATATTTAATAGAATATTAAAGTGTGCTCTAATAATGGCTCAAAGCGTTACCACTGTTAGTTCTTGACCAGAAACAAAATCAGTTAAAGTTATTTTAATATCTCTCGTTCTTTTAGCCAAATAAAAGCAGCAAAACTAGTTATAATGGAGTTAATTGTCTTTTCATTGAAGTACTGGCCATGGCAATCTGACTTCTACTTACTTATAGAACCCTTATATCTGAAAAATTCCTTAATTACACACGTAGCTTATGCAAGGCAAAATCCAGCTGAATCTTCACATCTATTGCCACAGAAAGAACTTCAAATGACTTTCCATGGCTGAATAGGAAAACTGCCTGAAAATGCTGACCAAAAAGTTTCTTTGCTAATGGTAAAGAAATTGAAACAGATCCAGTAACGTTGTCAAGGAGACGGGAAAATAAATTAACAAAACAAAGTATAGTACAGTGGTTAAGAGCACAAAGCCTAGAGCCAGACTTCCTGCCTACAAATCTTAGCTCTACCACTGTAGAGTTGTGTGATCTTCGGGACATTACTTAACCTCTCTGTGCTTCAGGCTTCCCAACTGTAAAATGAGGATAATAACAGTGTCTACTCCATAGAGCTTTTGCAAGATTTAATGGGTTGTTTTATAGCAAGTGATTTAGATAGTAATTAGCTCATGGTAAATGATCAGTGAGTGCCAGCTATTATTTAAATTTTTATTATTTATCACTTTTGTATACAGTAGAGCTGTTGATCCCAAAACAGAATCCTAAAGCTATTTCTCTAGGGACAGCACATAAACTACCACTCTACCTTCTGATGTATTTTTCTTAGTCTTTTGAAAATGCTAAATCCTGCTAACCCAAAATAATTATTTTCCATACAAATATTAAAAATGAATTCTAATTTGGGAGGAATGCAGGAGAAACTAAAACCAACATATTTTAAATTTTTATGCAGAAAAAGCAGTTAAATAATTAATTCAGAAAACTCACATAAGATTCTTGTAAATACTTTTTATAAAGAAATCTTGTATTCATTTTCCATTGTATCTTTATACCAACCCTGTAAGACGGGGTAGGCAGATCAAGTAATAGCGTTTTTTTTAAGCTGAAGAAACCGAGGTAAAAAAAAAAAACGGTTAAGTGAATTTCCCACAACTACAAGGAACAGATGTAATCCAGTATTATCTGTAATTTGAATCAGAATCTAAATCCAAATCAAAGCACCGTGAATTGGAAAATTTATGTCATAAAGATTTGGTGGTTAACACACAACTTAGCATGGTTTAAGTTTGTTTCTAGACCACTGTTTGTTCAAGAGACATTTTTTTTCTTAACATAGGCTTTATCCAATCCTAGATATAATACTATCTTTAGAAAGACACCAACCAAAGTTTGCATTAAAGAGTTATTCAGATTCTTCCACGCTTCATAGCCAAGTATCCCAACAGATCCAGTAAAACCAAAGTTTACTCAAAGCAGGTCAATTTCATTGCTCCAAATGATTTGACTAGTTGTGTCAAAGCAAGGAAACCAAGTTAGTTTAGTGAAAAAGTTATACCAATAGTCAGACCAAACTGATCAACTTATGTTGTGTGTTCCTAGCTAATCTGGCTATCATCTGACTAGTTTGATGAATAAAGCCACTAAAAATGGATGATTCTATTTGTATGTGAAGAAAAATAGCAATAGTCTTAAGTTTCTCAGAATACTTTAACATTGATCTCAGACACTTGGGGGAACAATCATGTAAAATCAGATATGCTCTCCCACAACTATAAAACCTGAATAGAACATTGAGAGAGACTGAAAAGAATGAAAGAAGCTTTACTGTTTATATTAACAAAAGACTTCTCTATTAGCAATGTTGCCCCTACTTTTTTATAACTAAAAATGATTCTTATTATAAATAAGGTCATATGTGGTGGCTCATGCCTATAATTCCAGTGCTTTGGAAGGCTGAGGCAGGAGGATCACTTGAGACCAGGAGTTTGCAACCAGCTTGGACATCGTAGTGAGACCCCATTTCTACAAAAAAATTAAAACTTTGCCAAGCATTGTGGTGAGAGCCTATAATCCTAGCTATTTCAGAGACGGAGACAGGAGCATCACTTCAGCCCAAGAGTTAGAGGTTCCAGTGAGTTAGGATCATGCCACTGCACTAACCTGGGCAATAGAGTGAGATCCTCTCTGGGAAAAAAAGAAAAAGATAAATGGGTTTCTTCTATGTCAAAGTAGAAACAGAACAGAAGACCAAAAATCATAAAGAAAAAAATGTTTTTGATTATATAAAAATTAAAATAATTTCTAGAAAAAAACATTAGAAATAGTATTAGGAGAAATATTCAGAAAAAATACTTGCAACCCATATAATACATTGAGGGTTATCTATGAGGTTCAAGGAATTTCTACCAATTTATAAGAAAAGGATAACTTAGTAAAAAAAATACAATTGGGCGAACATTAGGCATAGTTAAATAGAGGAAATTCACATGACCTTTAAACACTGGAAAAGATGTGCAATTTCACTAGCCATCAAGGACATGCAAATTAAAACTAAGTTGAGGTACTATTTTTCGTCTGTCACACCAGAAAAAATTAAGAAAATATTAATATCTAATGCCTGTGTATGACATTTTAGTGGAAGTATGAATTGCGATATCAATTTTGGAAAGTGATTTGGAAATGTTAATTAACATTATAAACATACACTTCCTTTGCTCTGGAAAATTCACCTCTATAAAAATAATAGCACCAATGAGTAGGTAGATCGATAGATAAAGAGATAGAGGATTAGTTTTGTATTGCTGTCACAAATTACCAAAAATTTAGTTGCTTAGAACAATACAAATTTATTAGAACAAGACAAATACAATTCTGGAGGTCAGAAGTCCTAAAATCAAGATGTCAGCAAAAACTGCATTCCTTCTGGAGGTTCCCTTCCAATTTCCAGAGTGTGTTTCTTTACCTTTTCCAGTTCTGGAGACTACCTGCATTCCCTGGCTCATGACCAGTTCCTTCTGTCAATATGACCTCTGCTTCTGTCTTGACAGCTACCTCCTACATTCCTCTTATGAGAACCCCTGTGATTACCCTGAGCCTACTGAATAGTCTCTCCATCTCAAGGCCTTAACTTAGTCATGTCTGCAAAGTTCATTTTGCCATATAAAATAAAATAAGGTTTAAAGGTTCCAAGGATTAGGATATGAATATCTTTGTGAGGCCTTTATTCTCCCTACTATATTTATATACCCACGCCCACATACACACACACACATTTACTATTCAAAAAGTGTATTGGGGCATTCAGCTTTCCATTACAAAGATATTAAAGTTAGATCCCCACCATATACCATCACTTAAATTCTGAAGATATTGAATACTGGAATGAGAAAACAAAACTCTAAATGTGTTAGGGAAAAAAGGAGAAATATCTTAATAAGCAAAAGAAACCACCATCAGAGTGAACAGGCAACCTACAGAATGGGAGAAAATTTTTTTGCAACCTACTCATCTGACAAAGGGCTAATATCCAGAATCTACAATGAACTCAAACAAATTTACAAGAAAAAAACAAACAACCCCATCAAAAAGTGGGCGAAAGATATGAACAGACACTTCTCAAAAGAACACATTTATGCAGCCAAAATACACATGAAAAAATGCTCACCATCACTGGCCATCAGAGAAATGCAAATCAAAACCACAATGAGATACCATCTCACTCCAGTTAGAATGGCAATCATTAAAAAGTCAGGAAACAACAGGTGCTGGACAGGATGTGGAGAAATAGGAACAATTTTACACTGTTGGTGGGACTGTAAACTAGTTCAACCATTGTGGAAGTCAGTGTGGTGATTCCTCAGAGATCTAGAACTAGAAATACCATTTGACCCAGTCATCCCATTACTGGGTATATACCCAAAGGATTATAAATCACGCTGCTATAAAGACACATGCACACGTATGTTTACTGTGGCACTATTTACAATAGCAAAGACTTGGAACCAACCCAAATGTCCAACAATGATAGACTGGATTAAGAAAATGTGGCACATATACACCATGGAATACTATGCAGCCATAAAAATGATGAGTTCATGTCCTTTGTTAGGGACATGGATGAAGCTGGAAACCATCATTCTCAGCAAACTATCACAAGTACAAAAAACTAAACACTGCATGTTCTCACTCATAGGTGGGAATTGAACAATGAGAACACATGGACACAGGAAGGGGAACATCACACACGGGGAGCTGTTGTGGGGTGGGGGGAGGGGGGAGGGATAGCATTAGGAGATATATCTAATGTAAATGACGAGATAATGGGTGCAGCACACCAAGATGGCACATGTATACATATGTAACGAACCTGCACGTTGTGCACATGTACCCTAAAACTTAAAGTATAATAATAATAATAATAATAAAAAGAACTTTAACCCGAGTGCATTGACACATGCCTACAATTCCAGCTACTTGAGGTGAGAGAATTGCTTGAGCCCAAGAGTTCAAGGACAGCCTAGGCAACATAGTGGGATGCTGTCTCTTAAAAATATATATACATATATATATATATTTTAAAAGTTTAGAAAAGTGATCCTTAAAACAGACACAAAATGACCCAGCATTTGTACTTTTGAGACTACATCCTAGAGGAACTTTGACACATATATAAGGAGATATGTACCATTATTTTATTAGCAAGATCTGTGGTGGCCAAAAATTAAAAAGTGTAAATATTCATTAGGGCTATGAATCAAATGTGATATATTGTATTATGAAATATTCTGCAGCAATTAAATAGAAAAAAACTCTTTATAACTAATTCTCCAAAACAGTTTTGAATGAAAAAATAATTTTATTCTTCTGTTCAAAACCCAGAAAATCGTGTTTCACTCTAAATGGCTAAAGACCCTGAATGGCCTAGCATCCCTGTGTGAACTGGTATTATTACTTCTCTGACTTTACTCATTATGCAGTGTGCACCAGCCACACTGGCCTCCTGGATGCCCCTAAATACCCCATGCACACTTCCACCTTACAGCTTTTGCTTTGGCTGTTCCCTCTGCCTGAAATGCTCTTCCCAGCTATTTCCTTCATCTTCCTCAAATCTTTACTCAAATTCCTCCTAATCAATGAGGCCTGTCGTAACCACTCAAATTAAAATTGCAACTCAACTTCACTCCAACTTCTGAGAGTCCCAAATTCCGTTCCCCATTTCATTTTTTTTTTTTTCGTAGTGCTTACTTTCAAACACATTCTATAATCCCATTTTTTGGTTGTGTTTACTGTTTGCTGGCTGTCTCCTCTGGCTACAGCATAAACCCCGTGAGGGCTAGGATTTTGTTTCATCCCCAGAAGTTTCCTAAAACCTAAAATAGTACCTGACACATAGTAGGTCACTAAACATATAAAGCATACAGGAGAGAAACACTGAATATGAACACTAGGGAAGTGATAGAATACATTCCCTATTACAGAATATCATGAAGGTATTTTAAAAGCATGAATAAAATCAGTATCTGGTGATTTCCAGAGGTTCATGATGGAGAAGAGATAAAGTGATATGTACCAGGCTGTTTATACTAGTTACCTTGAAGAAGAGAAGAAAAAGTTGTAAAAATAATAAAATAGAAAAGACAGTGTAATATTAAGTAAAAATATGCACTACAAAGATGTATGTAAATATATGTGTACATATGTATTATTACTATGCTATGTAAAGGTTTTAAATGGATATCACTAATGATTAGTAAAACAACTTGAACATAAAAATATTAATTAGGGTTCTGCGGGCAAGTTTTGCCTCAGAATTCTTATTGTTTTAATGGGATTTGTAATAAAGTAACATTTATAAAAGAAAGAAAATAGAGAAATCTTGCCTTTCATATTTTCACAAATAACTTCTAAAAGGAGTATTTTCATTAATTTTTGAAGTAAAACAGACTTTCTGTTTAATAAATCTTTTTCCACTACAAACATACTCATTTCCAGAATATATCTTATTGTTTTTTCTGAGCATTATTAAAGAAATGAATATTTCCCAAAATAAACTTCTAATGTGCAATATAAATCTGCCACTTGAGCTTATTAAGCATTGGTAACAGTAAAGGTAGATTCACTGAGTTTCCTCTCAATAATATTATTATACTATATTTTATACAAGTAAGATACTTTATAATTAATATTCAAATTGATTTCTGTAGCTTTTAATTTTTTTATTTCAATAAGTTTTGGGGGAACAGGTAGTGTTTGGCTACCTGAATAAGTTCTTTAGCGGTGATTCTTGAGTGCAGCTTTTTCTTATGATTCTTTTGTAAAACAAAATCTTAAGACACTGGTGGAGCAAGAATTTTTAGCCTCATTTTATAGATGAAAACGAGAGACAAAGTCTGAATGATTACCCAAGGACACTCATGTAGTTAAATAGGAACTGTGCCTAGCTACCCTGACTTCTACTTCAGTTCTTCCATTTTTGTCTGTAAAAATCTAGCAGTCACATTCTTACAGCAGCTTTAAAAAGTACTAATGAAATATTTTATTAAGACCCTCCTGTCTTCAGCTGAAGAGATCATTCATCAACTGCTTTTCCTCTGTGTTAGAAGAAAAATTGGACTTTATAAACCACCAGATTATAGTCACCTCCCAACAGTCATTGATGGTACTAAATATCAGTGTTACAGACTATGTTCCTCCAAAATGTGTTTGTTGAAATCCTAACCCCCAATATGATGGAATTAGGAGATGGGGACCTTCGGGAGATAATGAGGTGATGAGAGTGGAGGCTTCATGAATGAGATTAGTGCCCTTCTTAAAAAAAAGGCCCAAGAAAGCATTTTCGCCCCTTTCATTATGTTAGGTTATATTCAAAATACAGCAGTCTATGAACCAGGAAGGGGGTCCCCACCACTGAAAATGTTGGCACCTTGATGGGACTCCCCAAATTCCAGAAGAGTAAAAATTAAATATTTATTGCTTAAGCAACTCTGTGGAATTTTTGTTACAGTAGCATGAACTAAGACAATCAAGTTATTTTAAAATAATCTACATCACTGCTTATAATTCATAACCACCAGTAGAACGAAAGTTGATGGAAAACTAAGTTGACAACACAATACATGTTATCAATAAGTGGACCAAAATTATTCTTATGGTATTAAGTAAAAGTTTTCACCAATATATGTCAAAGATGCCCAATTGCTTTTTCATTTATTTTTCTCTTTCAATGAATAAATATAATCACAAAATTTTCCTATTCTTTTCAGAAGAAACTTACAGAGAGAAAAGGTCACCATGAAAGGTTAGAAATAAAAGAAAAAGAAAACACAAAAGGAATGAGAACGTGTGATTAGAAAAGTTGTACTCATAATGTTGTGTTGTTTTTAGTAAGAAACTGATCCACCTAACATAGTCATTTTTGTTACTTTTCCCTTTAGATGTGCTTGACTTGTGCTAATTCTTTATATTCTCATTTTCTACTGGGGAAGAGCAGCCTGCGTTGTTAAGACAAATAACTTGTCATAGTCACTGTCATGGCCATGTAAAGAATGAAGAAGCTTCTTCCTTCAGTGATAAATCTGTCACTACCAACTGACTGCATTACTACCACATGCACCTGTGCCCCACAAACTAAGGAGAACAGAGATGGAGAAGCAAGTGGGTTAAAGGTAAGAAGAGAGCCATTGAACGCAATTTTACGGCATAGTCAACAAACAGTACCCAGGATTTCTCTTATAATCTTCTACTAAAACCAAATAGACTTTTGGTTTCCCAATGTATCTAGCTGACTTTTTGTGCTTTTGACAGCTAGATCACATTCCCAGGAGTTACCTACAGCACCACACTCTCACCAAGAAAAAGAAAACTTTTCTTTATGGGAAGTTAGGTTAAGGGAGTTGGTGCTAATCCTGTGAAGTAAAAGACATGTGAAAGCAAGAGGCCTGAGGGCTCCTGCAAATCAAGAACGATGAAGTGTCAGATTTTAGCCCCAAGAAAATGTCATAGAAAGAACTTCTACCAAACTTAGACTTTTCAAAATGGCTGTAAAATTGCACTTTCTTGCCTACTTAACAACTCCCCTTGTACCACCCCCAGACACACACATACATTCTAAAAAGTTGGCAGCTGCTGTGGGTGGTGGTGGTGATCCTAGTGGTTGTTTCAGTGGAGGTGGTTGGTTCTGCTTTTGCTTTCATTTTATATCAAAAGCCAGACCTTTAAAACACATTGATTTTGCCCCCTACATTTTTATGAACAAGATATGTAAGTGTATATGTTATAAAATTATACATTCAGTGGCCATTAAAAGTAAAATTTGTGGATTCCTGAGATGTGTACTGACAACAATAAATAATTTAACATTAGCTATTTTATGGTATGGCAAAAATTCTATGAAAAGTAGTTAGTTAAGTAAAATAGGGTGTCCTATAAGGGTAGCCTCCATTAGGAATTTTTCTGACAATTCGTATAAGTAAAACCAAAATCTAAACTTAATAAGATCAAGGAGATAAAGTTACATCTTTGGAAAATGGCACATATGGAACCGCATGTGCTGAGGCTGAGGGGTTAGAGGAGCTGTCTCAGCCCAGGGCTGCCCCTGCCTGGCTCCATCCCCATATACACGCAAGACGCTCTCTTATCTGAATGTTGGTTTCTTCATTTATATGCTGAGAGAGTAATGGATATAACTCCTGCAATTGTTGTAAGGCAAAAATAAAATGAAGTTTGGTAAAAGGTGTTTACAAATTTATGAATCACTACATATTATTTAATAAAATTATCAAAGGAAAAATTCCTAAATTATGCAGGTAATTAAACATTGGATGGGAAAATTAAATAAAAGATTAAAGATTATAGTTAGAGGCTGTGTATTATCCTTTCTAAAAATTAAGACAAAGCACTAAACTAAGAGTGTTTCAGGGAACATGATAATAACAATAATAATAATAGTGTGCCTTGCATCTATATGCTAACTTACAACTTAAAACTCATTTAACCTTCCCAATGTAGACATTACTGTTCCTGTTTTATAACTAAGAAAACCATGAAGTGACTTGGCCAGAGTAGCCCAGCTGTATACTGCAGAGCCAAAACTGAAATTCAATCTTTATATATACTTTTCAAGAAGTGCTATTTATCAAACAAATTAGCTAATGAATCCAGATGCTTCTATTATATGACCAAATTCAAGTAAAATTTCTTAAGAAAAAATAACAAGAGTAGGTAAGGATGTGGAGAAATTGGAACCCTTGTGAACCAGTGGTGGGAATGTAAAATGGCACAGCCATTGTAGAAAACAGTATGATGGTTCCTCAGAAATTACATATAGAACTACTGTATAATCTAGTGATGCCACTTCTGGGTATATACATGGAGAATTAAAAGCACGGACTCAAACAGATATTCATACACACATGTTCACAACAACATCATTCACAATAGTCACAAGGTAAAAGCAACCCAGTGTCCATCGGCAGATGAATGGATAGGCAAAATGTGGTATATACACATAATGGAATATCATTTAGCCTTAAAACAGAAGGAAATTCTGAGACACGCTATAGTGTGGGCCAACCTAGACATTATCCTAAGTGAAATAAGCTAGTCATAAAATGATAAGTACCTAGAGAAGTGATATTCATGGAGACAGAGTAGAATGGTGGTTGCCAGAGTCTGTTGGGAGGGGGAAATGAGAAATTATTATTTAGTGGATACAGAGTTTCAGTTTCACAAGATGTAAAAGTCTAAAGATGGATGATGGCTATGGTTGCACAATAATGTGAATGTACTTAATGCTACTGAACTGTACACTTAAAAAAGATTAAAATCATAAATTTTGTTATGTGTATTTTATCACCAGTTTTTGAAATAAATTAAATTAAATAATTTTAAAAGAAATAACACACATATTTGATGAGAAGTATCTGTGATGGTTAATTTTATCTGTCAAGATGGCTAAACAACAGTGATCAGTGTTTGGTCAAAAATTAGTCTTGATATTATTGTAAAGATATTTGTTTAGATTTAATAAACAGTTAAAATCAGTTGACTTTAAGTAAAGCAGATCACCCTTCATAATGTGAGTGGGCCTCATCAAATCAGTTGAAGGCCATAAAAGCAAACACAGAGTTCCTGAAGAAGAAATTCTGTGTTCAGACTGCACAAAGAGATTTTGCCTAAGTTTTCAGGGCTTAGAGTTAAGACTGCAACATCAACTCTTACCTCACTCTCCAGCCCACAGTTTGCCCTCTCCCACATTTGCATAAGCCAGATCCTTAAAATAAGGATCTCTCTTTCTCTCTCTCTCTCTCTCTCTCTCTCTGTGTGTGTGTGTGTGTGTGTGTGTGTGTGTGTGTGTGAGAGAGAGAGAGAGAGAGAGAGAGAGAGAGAGAGAGAGACAGCCAGAGAGAGACAGAGAGCGTATATGTAATATGACATTCTATTGGTTCTATTTCTCTGGAAATCCCTTGAATATAATACTTAAAATTTTTGGCAAGGTGTGGTGGCTTATGCCTGTAATCTCAGTACTTTGGGAGGCTGAGGTGGGTGGATTGCTTGAGGTCAAGAGTTCGAGACCAGTCTGGCCAACATGATGAAACCCAGTCTCTACTAAAAATACAAAAAAAAAAAAAAATAGCCAGGCGTGGTGGCCTGTGCCTGTAATCCCAACTACTCAGGAGGCTGAGGCAGGGGAATTGCTTGAACTAGGGAGGTGGTGGTTGCAGTGAGCCGAGATCGTGCCACTGCACTCCAGCTGGGCGACAGAGCGAGACTCAGCGTAAAAAAAAAAAAAAAAAAGAAAAAAAATTAAAATTTTTAAAGAAAAGTGAGGTCTAAAAAAAAAAATCCTAATGCATTCTACAATATTAACCAGTAGAGAAATACAAATTAAAACCACAGTAAGATACTATTGCACATCTATTAGAATAACTGAAATTAAAAATGGTAATAACACCAAATGCTGGCAAAAATGCATTGAAACTGGATCACTTATGCATTGCTGGTAGGAAGTAAGATTTTACAACCACTCTGCATGGTTTCACAGTTGCTTTCAAAACTACAAATGGATTAATTAGATGACCCAGCAATTACACTCTTGAGCATTTATCCCAGAGAAATACTTATTTTCACAGAGATGCTTATACACAAATGTTCATAGCAGATTCATTCATATTAGCCCCAAACTGGAAAGCACACAAATGTCCTTCAAAGGGTGAATGAGTCAACAAAGGTACACTTATACCATGGAATACTATTCAGCCATAAAGGGCAAAGAACTGTTAATACATAAGACAACTTGAACTAACCTTAACAAATTATTCTGCATTACACGTGGACACAGGGAGGGGAACATCACACACTGAGGCCTGTTGGAGGGTAGGGGGCAAGGGAAGGGATAGCATTAGGACAAATACCTAACGCATGTGGGTCTTAAAACCTAGATGAGGTGTTGGTAAATGCAGCAAACCACCATGGCACATGTATAACTATGCAACAAACCTGCATGTCCTGCACATGAATCCCAGAACTTAAAGTAAAATAAAAAAATTATTCTGCATGAAGAAAGCAAATCTGAAATGACTCTTATTGCAAGATTCCATCTCTATAACAATCATGAAATAACATAATTATAGAAATAGATAATGGATTAGTGGTTGCCAGTAGTTAGGAATAGGAAGGGAGATGGGTATGGCCATAAAGAGGGGACACAAGGGAGTCGTGTAGTGATGGCTCAGTTGAGTATCTTGATTGTGGTGATGGTTACACAAAGCTACACGTGTGACAAAATTGCATAGAGCTACACACACATACCCAGCAATGATGCATGTATAACTGGTGAATTCTGAATAAACTCTGGATTGTGCCAATGTTCTGTTCTTAATGTTGATATTGCCCTGTGGTTTTGTGGAATGTTGACAGTACTTCTTTGTACATTTCTTTGAATCCATAATTATTTCAAATTAAAGTTTTTAAAAACTAATGAAACACCTTTGTTTCTAAATTGTTAATATAAACTTGCTCCCTATGGGAAAGTAGACTACTCAGAATAAATTCTTCATTCTACAGTCTCCTCAATAAACATGTATTTTTCTTGATCCATCTTAAAACCAATTTTTTGTCCATTTAATTTGCCAACAATTCATTTTCCAAACAATAAATACATGTGTAGTGAAATAAAATTATCAGGAGGAAAATTTACATTCATAACGACTGTTTATAGGTTTCCGAAATGTAGCTACACAAAAGTTATCAAGCCTAATGAACATAATAGTCATTCCACTCATACAAATAATGAGATTCTATTATATTAACTGTTTATAGCCCCCTTAAAGGAACTATGCAATGAGATTAGGCATGTCACAGACCATTCCACCACCAGACATTTTTATCGACTATGTTGGTGCCCTTTCAATACCAAATTGATGAGCAATCATGGCAGACAATCTTATTAAGCTAGTTTGCATATTTATGAAGACTGTAGCTTAATAAACTGTTACAGGGCAATGAAAGTTTATGGAGATCACTAGAAATGTCAGAATAGTACTCCAAAGACGCAGTAAAACTTAGTAATTTTCTTTTAAATCCCAACCCATCTAAAATAAAAACCAGGGGATTTTTTAGTATCCCTGGCTCATTCATAACAAAATTCAATTTTCTAATGTAGTGTCCTGTTTACCTAATATTGAGTTGACTATATTGAAGTCTTGCCATGGGCAAGGGTATAGGTAACAAATTTAAGGGATTTAAGTTTAATTTCATGAAAGTTGACTTCTACTCTCTTTAACTATACATATAAAAGTTGATGAATAGTTAGGCATAGAGAGAAAGGGGAAATGGTAGCTAAGATTATAAACAATACACCATACCAATAAAACTGTAACGATACTACTCCTAAAGCTAAAATATTATCACACTGTGGTTTGGAACTAGATATAAATCAGATCCTCTTGTTTTAAGCAGATCATTTGTCAGCTTAGAGTTTATCTCTACAGTGGTGACTATTATTGCTCCAACAAAAATTATAGTAAAACTTCTAAGTGTATATCAACTGAAAGTAACTGATACATTTATAATGATAATAGCCTTTAAAAGCAAGATTCTGTAAGCTACTTATGGATCTCCAGTTGTAGCCTAATCTTTTTTCTTCCAGTGACGGCATCCACCAACTTTTCACCATTCCTGATTATGTTAGTCTCCTCCCTCTGTGAAGCACGGAACGCTGGGAGAACCTGGACCCATTTTTACGGCTGAGAAAGCATGGAAAAGAAAAATACCTCAAGCTGTACTGTAATTCCAGCTCATCACAGAATAGAGAGTTATTAAAATGATTTCTGCTAAAATCAAATTTTAAAATGTTTCTAAAATGTATTTTTTGTCCTTTTAAGTAACTGACAAACATAGAAGTTGCCCCTGAGAAAATTACAGTGGAATTAAAATCCTTCACTAGCCAACAAGTTTAGGTAAATAAATTTCTATATATATACATATTTTTTGATTTAGCTACTAAGTGTTTTTAAAGGATATTTTCTATATAGACCCAGACAAAACTATTTACACTGAAGATTCAAACTGCCTCAATCATATCTTTTTTTAAATATTCATATCTATCAATCAATGAGCGATGTCTGAGATAGCTAAAGACAGACAGAGAAAAACTCGAGGTCTAAACAAGAGGAAAAATAGGCTGTAGATATTGTGTCCTTTACTTTAGTGCCAAATTAAATAATTTTTGAAAGACTCGGTTTACAGTTACTATTAGAGAAGAAGCTTTTCTCTTTTATATCAAGCTTGCTTCACCAAATCATGTCATCATGCCAGACTGATCTTTCAATGTATCAGCTACAGAGGATCTATAATTCACTTTACATTCTTGCTTTTTAACTTCAGCCAAAATATTTCTTCTTTCTTCTTCAATCATTTAAAATCAAGTAAGCAAATGTAACACCTTATAAAGTTAAATGTATTGTAAGAATTATACTTTCCATTTGGAGCCTATTTAAATGACTTAGGCCCTTTTGACTTCATTAAATGCCTTAAAAATAATTGTTATAACACCCTTATAAGCTACACAATCCCAACATTATTATCTCTGTTTTACAGATGAAGAAACAGAGGCTCATAGAAATTAAGCGATTTCCCAAAATTATGTAACTTATTAATGAACAATCACAATAAAAGCTTAGTATACAGTTTTTTACACCTTCAGAGTGCATACTGAAATATACAGTTTATAAATGCAATGTTAAAGTTTACCTTAACCTGAAGAAAGCTTTTATATTAAAACATAGAAATCAATGGCATACATTACTTTTTCCCTTTTAAACTCAGTTTGATAACCTCATATGCTATTATTACTGTCAGTAACTGCAATATACTCTTAAATTTATCTTTAGTTAATTCAAAGTAGGAAATCTTTGAACAGACACCTTTTTAATGACTTTAATTGATTCCAAAGCCAATTATGTCTTATTTTTAGTCTCCCACAGAGTCCAATTCTTAATAATCTTTTTGTGCAACTTAGTCATTCGCATGAATCTTCTCTGACTTTTTAGAAACTAGGTGTGTATGCTCTGCGAAGGAAGTTTACACACATAACCTCAGAGGACACATCTACAGAGGTACCATCCATATACAGGAATTGTAGAGTTGTATATTTATTAAGAAATATTTCTAAAAGATGGTAGTCAAGTGGCTTGCTCTAACAAAATCATAATGATTTGACAATTTTCTAACATATGGAAATAAAATGTCTCGTGGAAGAGATGGCTTTTTCTGTTTCATACTAAGATGTCTTATGGACTAGCAGCAGTCCTCTAGAAACCAACTCTCTGTGGAATGATTGTATACAAAATTTTAAATATCTCTAAAATGAGAACTTCCAAAACTAAAAGGAAAAATTGAAACAGGCAATAGATGTGACAAAGAGAGTTAATATTTTTTTAAAGAGCTTTTTTTTTCTAAGTGTAGAAGAACATAACTTAAAAAGAAAAAGAAGAATATAAATGGAAATATTTCAGGAAAAATTATTAAGGAGCATATGGTTAATGTTCAGCCTCATTAGTATTCAAAGAATGTTGTTGAAGGTATGGTAAAGTGTGATAAAGGGCTATTGCTAATGGCATTATGAACTGGAAAAAATCCTTTTGAAAAACAACATGTACCTGGACCTGATCAGCTCACTCTTGGGACTACATCTTACATGTGGCAGACATGTGAGGTCACTGGCTCATCCCCCAGCCCAATCCTTCCTCCAGTGCTATCTTCTGGTGAGGTGTGGTCATATGTCATAGTTCCAGTCAAGAAATGAAAGGGTAAGTCTGCTAGGTTTACTTTTTATGCTTCCTTTTCCCTGCTTTGAATGGAAAAAAATGGTAGTTGTAGCTATAGCATTCATCTCCTGAACATAAGAGAAAGCCCAAAAATATTGTAGAGATATTGGCCTTGAAATCAGCAAATCACTAAATCAATGCCAATGGCCACCACATAACCTCCAAACTTGCTATGTGTGAAAAACAATCTCTGGCAGGTTTCAGCCACTTACTGAAACAAGAAAGAATAAGAGAAAAAAAGTGATGTACTTAGGACTATTTATAGTAGAAATGTTTTATCAAAATGAAAAAAGTAAAGCAACCCTACTAATTGGGAAATGTTTAGGAAATAATAATAGACACAAATCTAGCGGAGTGTGTAGGCTCACGTCTGTAATCCCAGCACTTTGGGAAGCCAAGGTGGGTGGATAGTTTGAGGCCAGGAGTTTAAGACCAGCCTGGCCAACATGGCAAAACCCCGTCTCTATTAAAAATTAGCCACAGGTGGTGGCATGTGCCTATAATCCCAGCTACTCAAGAGGCTGAGGCATGAGAAACACTCGAACCCAGAAGGCAGGAGGCAGAGGTTGCAGTGAGCTGAGGTTGCGCCACCGCACTCCATCCTCGGTGACAGAGCAGGACTCTGTCTCAAAAAAAAAAAATGGCCGGGCACAGTGGCTCACGCCTGTAATCCAAGCACTTTGGGAAGCCGAGGTGGGCAGATCACCTGAGGTCAGGAGTTTGAGACTAGCCTGGCTAACATGTGAAACCTCATCTCTAATAAAAATACAAAAATTAGCCAGGCGTGGTGGCGGGAGCCTGTAATCCCAGCTACTCGGGAGGCTGAGGCAGGGAGAATCGCTTGAACCCAGGAGGCAGAAGTTGCAGTGAGCAGAGATCACACCATTGTACTCCAGGCTGGGTGACAGAGTAAGACTGTCTAAAAAATATATTTAAAAAAGGAAATAATAATGGACACAAATCAGATTTAAATGATCAATCTGAAGATCATATGTATAGTAACTTGATTGTATTCATGACCCCCATTTTTTTAATCCTTTACTGTATTCACTTTCTTTGCCATAAGACTTTGCAGTTACTCTCAACAAAGAGGCAAATCTATTTCCCTGCCCCTTGATTCTGCGTTCAGACATCCGCCTCATCTTGGACAATGAGATGTCAGTTAGCATCACACAAGAAGTCCTGAAAAGTATTTTCCAATAGTACTTTTCCTCACATTGACATTTTGGCCACTCCACGAGAATAATTCAAGGCTAGCCTGCTGGAGCTGAGACATGGGGAGTGGAGTGGAGTCAAGTCTTCCCAGTTGTCTGAGCTGAGGCCATTCTAAACACTCGACTACCAGGCAATCCCCAGATGCATGAAGCAGCCCAGGCAAGATCAACAGACCTGCCTAGATGGCCCAAGGCTAACACCAGAGAAAGCCCAGAGGAGACCAGTTGAGCCCACTTGAGAGTAGCTAACTCTATGGACTTGTAAGGTTTACTGTTGCATGTCACAGAGGTTTTGTGGTTTTTTGCTGCACAGTCCTTTGTGGCTATAGATAGCTGATACAATGTAAAAAAATAAATAAATTTTTTAACATATGCATTCATCTATTTAATATTCACTGAGTACTCACAATGTACCAGGCATTACAGTCAGTGAAAAAAAGCAGGATACAGAATCATTTTATTCTATGAGTACAAGTTGTAAACAATACACATGTATATAGGGAAAGGCTTGGAAGGGTGCAAAGGCCATTGGTTATTCTTATTTGTTTGGTTTTTGCTTTCCTTTAAAATGACCTCTCAAATGCATGTTTGTAGGTTGGCGGTATGCAAAAAAAAAAAAAAAGGAAAGGTAAATATGAACTGGAGTGAAGGGACTGAGTGACAAGACTGGTGTCAAAGTGGGTAGGGAGATGTGACAATGACTCCTTTTTTGTGTGAAGAATACAAGGCCATCTTTTTAGGCTCCAGCAAAAACAGTGGAAAACATGGAGCATTCAAAAATTTGAGAGACGGGAAAAGTGAGGTGTGAAGTCAGCAAGGAGAAGCAGGAGGAGACAGAATGCCAAGAACAAGTCAGCTGGAAGGCAAAGAGGCCACCTCTCCCTCTAAAACAGGGAGAAACGATGGGGATAGTTTATGTGTTTTTAACTATAGAAGGAAAGAAAGGTAATAAAGTGGCTGCCTAAAGGTTTCTATTTTCTTAAGTCCCAGTGCAGCAAAATTATCTACTAAGAGTGAAGAAAACAAAGTGAGGAGGGGACAAAAGAGTTTGAAAGAAAGAATAAAGGGCCCTGACAGAAAACTGTGGATAACCCAAAAAATTACTGAGTTGTGTTGAAATTTACTTTATCAAAGGAGAAGTTATGTTTTAGAAGAATTTTGAATAGCACTTTGAAGTAACAGCCAGCACAGAAAAACCTATATAAAAGTTATGCCTTTATTATTATCTTGATTATGGCATTTCTAAAAAGCTTCATTTTAAAACTCCTGTTAATTTATTTAGGGTTTGGCATAGATTCATCAAGACATGGAAATTTAAGTATCAGGTATAAAGAAATAAGATACAGATGAAAAAATGCCCAGATGAGAAAAATTTTAAGTTATCTTTATGCACTCAATTTACAATTATAACTTTAATTAGAACATCTTAACTGCTCCATTACTTGATGTGGGTTTTTTTTTTCCTAATTCTATTTTTGCCGCCTTAATAGTTTCTGCTCTAAACTGCATTTAAAAGATTCTATAGTTGTAAATTCTTTAGTAGCACTTTGGGAACAAAATAACCAAAAGAAGAGAGCTAATCAGTAACATATATAGAAGAGATCATGGCGTTTTGGGTCAAAAATATGATTTAACTTCCCTACCGTGCCACTGCCATCTTGTTTGTGGAACTACACAATGATTTTTTTTAAGTGTACTGAGAATGAGGCATATATAAATGATTTAAGAACTAGTTTAACTTTGACAATCAGAGAATTAAGTCTTAAGTTTTGAGGAAAACAATGGAATAAGATCCAAATTTATTGACATCCACAGTTTCCTTGACTTTTTCAAGGCAAAGCATAACTAGACTTGCTTTCACGCTCATGCATGGCTGTATCCTCAACATTTTAGAGATTGCAAACTCTTGGCATGCATGTCTGATAGGGCTAGGAGATGAGTTTATTTAGCTGCCAAATAGTTTTTGTTTATTTAATTTGAGTACTTTTAGGCAAAATACTCACCCTCTAGTTCAACCTCTACATGACTTATATTATCTGCCACCTAACTCACAAAGTCATGCATTGACATTCCTGCCTAGTTGTGAAGGTATTTGAGGTTGAGGGGGGAAGGCCTCCACCTCACAGTAACAGAAATGGATTCTATTGTATTCAAGAAACTCTAAGACAAAATTCTGGCTCCCACATATACCTGTTTAATGCCCATGGACAAGACACATGATATTTCTGAACCTCAGAAAGGTATTATCTCTAAATTATATTAAATGTCTATCTCACCAGGTTAGTTAGAAGTTAAATAAGATTCTGTGTGCAAGACACCTACCACAGAGTGATGGTCCTCCCCTTTATTTATTTTTTTATCTGATTTTTTTTTGACTGTTTTGCTCAGTTTTGCTCTTTGTTGCCCAGGCTGGAGTGCAGTGGCACAACCTTGGCTCATTGCAACCTCTGCCTCCCGGGTTCAAGTGATTCTCCTGTCTCAGCCTCCCAACTAGCTGGGATTATAGGCACCCACCACACACCTGGCTAATTTTTGTATTTTTAGTAGAGACGGGTTTCATCATATTGGCCAAGCTGGTCTTGAACTCCTGACTTCAGGTGATCTGCCCGCTTCAGCCTTCCAAAGTGTCCCGTTTATTTTTTATTGCTAAGCTCATTAGATGAGAAAATAGAGCTGTATAAATAACTGTTAATTGCATATACTGCTAGCTTTTCTTTTGGGTGTTTTGAAGGCTCTAGCAAAATTACATTAAGGGAAAATTCTACCTAATTATAAATAATAACCAAAAAGTGAATTGGCCTCAATTAAAACAATTTCATCCAAGACTCTTCAAAACATTAAAGTTAAAATATGTGGCAACAGTATAATTAGAAAGTCAGAAATCTTGCAATTGCCTTGTTTTTGCATTGAGTAAAAGTAAATGCATGGATTTTTAAAATTATTTCCAAAGGACTGTGTTTACTTTTCACTTAACCTCATCAATTTTCATTTTTATTATTATTTTTTTACTGTGATACTAAGGTTCTTTTCAACGACTTCTTCAATAACTGTAGTTTGAGAGCAATTAAGCTTTGTCCTTGAATGAGTAGTTCTAATGACTGGCCTTTCCAAGGAATGACACATTCTTTTTTTTTTTTTTTTTTTTTTTTTTTTTTTTTTTTTTTGAGACGGAGTCTCGCTCTGTCGCCCAGGCTGGAGTGCAGTGGCGGGATCTCGGCTCACTGCAAGCTCCGCCTCCCGGGTTCACGCCATTCTCCTGCCTCAGCCTCCCAAGTAGCTGGGACTACAGGCGCCCGCCACTACGCCCGGCTAATTTTTTGTATTTTTAGTAGAGACGGGGTTTCACCGTTTTAGCCGGGATGGTCTCGATCTCCTGACCTCGTGATCCGCCCGCCTCGGCCTCCCAAAGTGCTGGGATTACAGGCGTGAGCCACCGCGCCCGGCCAGGAATGACACATTCTGACCAGCATTGAAAATTCACCAAGTGAAGAGTTACAATGATTATTACGGTTTATTAATAGATCAAATACCAAATGAAGGTCCTGTTTATGTTGACAAGAATAGGAGTTAAAGACATAGTCAGAGCATCTCAGAAGTAGATGTAAGACAAGCAGTTACTTAGTCCAACCATGCATTCCATGTGTGAGTCTCTCAATCATATCCTTGATAAATGATTGTGCATCTTCTACTTGTAAACCTCCAATGAAATAGAACTCAACACGACTATGAGCATCTAATTAAATTTTCAGACAGGTGTAATTTTTAGAGAGTGTTTCCTTATATTGAACTGAAATCAACTGGCTCATTAACAAATCTCCCTCCAGTCACCGCCATCTAATGCCTGTAGAGAAAGTCATTGCTATTTCATCTTCTCAGAAACCTTGGCTAAAATGTCATTTAGATGCATGCTGCCCAGCTGGTGGCATGCTGCAGTTAAACCATAATCACCTGAGAATTGATCCCTTCTAAAGGAGGGTATGTGTGTGTGTGTGTGCACGCTTGCGTCCACACGCTCACATATATGTGTGTTTAACTTCTTTATACATGGAATCTGGGACAAGGAAAGTTTCCAGTCAATGTCACTGAGGGCTGGTATCTAGGAAAAATGGGATCCCCAACAAATTCTATCTTTTTCTATGTCACCTGAATGGTCTTCAAATTGAAGAAACTGCTGGAAAAGAAGCTGTTGAAGAAGTCGTTGTAAAGAACCTTAGTATGATAGTAAAAAAGTCCATGTGACCCATATGGACTTTTGTGACAATAGCTTTCCTATGTAACAAGTGCTAAATGCCTTACGTGTATTCTCATTCAAAGCCCCCTCACCCACAAGGTAGGTATCACCATAGCTTTTTTAACAAGAAGAAAACTGAGGCATAGGAAAATAAAATAATCATTCAAATTCAAACAATCAGTAAGGAGAGTAAGCAGAATTATGACACCATCAGTTGGATCCTAGAGTTCACTATCTTTACCTCTGTGAAAGTAGTGGCTTGAAACAATTTAATGCAAAGTTCCTAGTCTTTTTTTGTGTTTTCTTCTTCTCCAGAAATTTCCTATGCAGTCAACAGTCTACTTAAGTTGTTGAGCCTTGTCTTTCATGAGCTATGAAAATGTTAAGGTCTTGGTCAGGTAAATATGACACTCAGGACAGTTGATCAAGATGGCTTTCAATAGTATAGACGGTGCAGACACCAGGTAAAATTGCAAAATACATCCCTCCTTCTCTCCATCTAGATAATACCCTTCTCCATCTTATCCTCAAGCAGAAGCATTAGTTAAGGGTGCTAGGCTGGGTGCAATGGCTCAATCTCAGCACTTTGGGAGGCCGAGGTGGTCAGATCGCCTGAGATCAGGAGTTTGAGACCACCCTAGCTAACATGGCAAAACCTCATCTCTACTAAAAGTACAAAAATTAGCCAGGGGTGGTGGCGGGCACCTGTAATCCCAGCTACTCAGGAGGCTAAGGCAGGAGAAACTTGAACCTGGGCAGTGGAGGTTGAAGTGAGCCAAGATCGTGCCACTGCATGCCAGCCTGGGCAACAAGAGTGAAACTCCTTCTAAAAAAAAACAGTGCTAGTGGATAGTCAAGCAGTTCTTGGGCTCTTGAACTATTTAGACTGTCATTAGACTAATAATCTAATAGAGGTGACTTGTTTTATGTTCCTGAATCCTGTTGAAAACAGTTATACCAATCTTTAGCTAATAGCCAAGCAAGGCTTTCTGAAGTGGCAAGACATAGAGAAAATAAAACCTTGCCTACCCTACACACAGCAATATGGATCAATCCCTCAACACCCATATGCAAATATATGTTCACTCATACATATTAACAAATGAAAACAAAACATCCTAAATCTGAAATAACACGCACCATTTAGTCTATACCCTCCAGCAATCTGAGAAGCAAAGTTGACTGAATTCATTAATTTTTATTTTCTCAGCCCTCAGTTTGTCAGATACTCTGAAGAGAGACATGCTTCTAACGAACTTTTTGGATTAACCACTTATCATTTCCTCCAAATAGAACCTTCAACATGACCCAACCCTTGCTGACTCCAGTGGGTCCCTGTTCTAGGAGTGGGTCCTGGTTAATCTTAACCAATCATTGTATTGTCAGTGATTGATTCAGAAACTCTCTTGCCAGTGATTGGTCCAAGAATCTAGGCTTGAGCCAATCAACACTCTGGAGAGCTCATCCTTAGAGTCTATTTCTGACCTAAGAATGAGCACATGACCTAAAGTGATACAGAAAGCCTGAAAGCTGGAGACCCCAGTTGAGCAGTCTTACTTCAGGCCAATATCCTTGATGAACAAAAATCCTCAACAAAATACTGGTAAGCCGAATCCAGCAGCACATCAAAAAGTTTATCCACCACGATGGAGTAGGCTTTAGGCCCAAGATGCAAGGTTGGTTCAATATATGCAAATAAATAAATGTGATTCATCACATAAATAAAACTAAAGATGAAAACCACATGATTATGTCAATCAATGCAGAAAAGACTTTCAATAAAATTCAACATCACTTCATGTTAAAAAAATTCTCAATAAACTAAGTATTAAAGGAACGTATCTCAAAATAATAAGAGCCATTTATGATGAAAAACCCATAGCCAATATCATACTGAATGGACAAAAGCTGGAAGCATTGCCCTTGAAAACCGGCACAAGACAAGGATACCCTCTCTCGCCACGCCCATTCAACATAGCATTGGAAGTTCTGGCCAGGGCAATCCAGCAAGAGAAAGAAATAAAAAGTATTCAAATAGGAAGAGAGTAAGTCAGTCTATCCCTGTTATCTGATGATGACATGATCCTATATCTAGAAAACCCCATTATCTCAGCCCCAAACCTTCTTAAGCTGATAAGCAACTTCAGCAAAGTCTCACGATACAATATCAATGTGCAAAAACTACTAACATTCCTACACATCAACAGTAGTCAAGCCAAGAGCCAAATCATGAACGAACTCCCATTCATAATTGCCACAAAAAGAATAAAATACCTAGGAATACAGCTAACAAGGGAAGTGAAGGATCTCTACAAGGAGTACTACAAACCACTGCTCAAAGAAATCAGATTTGACACAAACAAATGGAAAAACTTCCATGCTCAAGGATAGGAAGAATCGATATCATGAAAATGGCCATAATTCCCAAAGCAATTTACAGATTCAGTGCTATTCCCATTAAACTACCAGTGATGTTCTTCACACAGCTAGAGAAAATTTTTTAAAAAATCATATAGAACAAAAAAAGAACACAAATAGCCAAGACAGTCTTAAGCAAAAAGAACAAATCTGGAGGCATCACACTACCTGACTTCAAACTACACTACAGGACTGCAGTAACCAAAACAGCATAGTACTAGTACAAGAACAGATACATAGATCAATGGAACAGAATAGAGAACCCAGAAATAAAACCACCTACAGCTATCTTATCTTTGACAAACCTGACAAAAACAATCGGGAAAGAATCCCCTATTTAATAAATGGTGCTGGAATAATGGGCTAGCCATATGCAGAAGTCTGAAACTGGACCCCTTCCTTACACTATATGTGTGGAAGGGATTCTCCTTCCATTCAGAATGTAACCAAAAGTTGACCCCATTGCTTTCATCACCTTCCATTAGCAAGAATTCGAATCTCCTGACTATATCCAAATAGAACAGAGGCTGGAAAAATGTCATCTCCAGTGGGAAAGCCTTGCTTCCAGCAAAATCTTCTATCAGTACATAACAAGGAAGAATGAATATTGGGTAACAACTTACATTTCTGAAACACTGGGGGAGAATTATCTTCTTCTGGATAGGATCAAGGAAGCATATTTCCTTGGCCGTTGCTAGCAGCCATCTTAATACAATGAGAGAAGTCAGCCTAAGAATAAACACAAAACAGAGATAAGCAAAGAACCTAGAGAATAGCAGAGAAATAGAGCTCTACCCTTCCTATCCTCATGACAGGGCCCTCCATCCCACCTCTTGACCAGCTGTTATGGAAGATAATAAATTTTCTTACTGGCTGAATTTGGTTTCTCATTAATTGCAGCTGAAAGGACCCTAACTACTACAAAAGCCAAAACCCAAAAAAGGAGGATGGAAAAAGAGATGCAGCTGGGCCCCAAAGACCTTGTAATAATTTCTTAATGAGGGCTTTAATTTCACTCATTAGATAGAAGATCAAACTTATTTTCTCTTTTTTATTCTATCCCCTCACCAACTTCATAGTTGCTCCAAGAATACTGAAAAGCACTTTTCTCCAGGAATGTTTTATATCATCTGTATTTAAAAACAGTATTAATCTAACCCCGTAACAGGATGAAGTGCCGTGTGCTGAATTGCAGGTCTGTCTCAGCATGGTACACAGTAATACTTCTTAATTAGAGAAGTACATTGTGATCTCGAAGTCTATTGAAATTACTCAATGGCTTGGTTTTAAGTAGTGTTCACTGGAGCTGCAGAAGTGTGAATAATAATATGAAATAATCATCATTGCACACTAAGAGCAACACCTAATTCGACATAAAGCATAAAAGTACAAGAAAGAAGAGAAAATGTGATGTTTTCATCATGCCATGTAATGTCCTACAGCCACTCAAATGTCCACGCAAAATACACTGCCTTTAAATGTTCTAAATTTAACTCATAATTCTATAACCAAGTTTAACTTAGATGTTCACATATCACAGTCCCATTGCAAGGACTGATTTATGCTTTTCACACACACAGGGAAAATGACTACTTCTGTCATTTGTTGGAGTACAAATCACAGCAATATGTCACCTGAATTTGTAGGGGGAAAGCACTTGTAAGAAACACACCCTGTTCAGTCAAACAAAACATAAAGATTGTGTCAGTAACATAGCAATTAGATGTATCTACATTATAAAACATTCACTATCTCCCCCACCCTATCCCAGCTCCCCACCAAAAACATGTATTTCCATGTGTAAAGTTGCATGGGTCACTATAATACCTGAGTGACTAATATTGTCACATCAATTCTAAATTAATGAATAACTGCAAAAATAGTTCTCACAAATAGATATTCCCAAATTTTCAGAGCCTGAATTTGACTTTCATCCTGTAGCAGTCTTACCCCAAGTCAAGTATTTCAGATCATTATTAAGTATCAAATTCTGCTATCAACTCTCCTAATGTAACATGAAAGAAAATCTTAGAAAGAACATTTCCTTTGAAATGTAGTGTTCTCTAATAGCTTTTGATGACAACACTTCTGAGAGATATTCTAGTTTATTTGAAGAAGTTATTTTACAAACAAGTGCATAAATATATACTTCATGGTAGATTGTACTGATTGGCAAAGATTTATGCTACTTTCTCTTGCCCTTGCCCCATAAAAAGAGGTATACCTTTCAGCTCAGTTATGATTTGGTTGTAAGACTTGCTTTGGAAATGGAATATGAGTGAACATGATTTATATCATGTCCAAGCAGAAACTCTTAGAGGCTTTGCAAGTTTCTGCCATTTGCTTAAGCTTCAGCCCCCTGCCATGAAGAAAATCTTTCTAGATAATGTCTGTTCTTCCACCTAGGTCCCAGAATTAAAGGATACACGGAACAGACCTGACCCCACTTCACATCCCAGAGCCCAGTTCAGGAGAGCCAAGCAGAGCTGAGCAAAACTATAACCAACTTGTAAACAAATAAGTGAGAAAGAATGTCTCTCATTGTCAGCCATTGAAATTTAAAGGTTGTTTGTTACTACAGAAAGAGCTAATGTATACCCAATGCTTCTGAAAGGCATTTAAGAGGGTATAATAAATGTAACCCTATATTGGCCCTTTTGAACCTAACGCATAAAGGTTATTTGAGAAGAAAACAGTCCATTGGAAACCCAAAGAGCCATTTTGTTCTTGACACATTAACAGGCTTGTCTTTTTTCTGCTCTGACACTTTTTGGTAGAGCTGAACAGCCCAAAACTTTTATTGAACAACTGAGGGTAAGGGAAGGAAAACCTCTATTAAAAGTTCAAAATCCTATTTTCATAATGTCATACAGCCAAATTGAACCCTGAACCTAGCTCCTTCCATTTTAATCCATCTACCAGCTTCTTTCACCCTAATAATACCATTTGGATATGAGGTTTCTACATTCTATTATATGCACCTTTAAGGATGGAGGCCCTGTCACATTCCTCTCTCTATGAATTCCCCCAGTGTTTATCACATCATACACAGAATAGGTGAGATAGATGGTAGATAGACAGATAGATAGATAGATAGATAGATAGATAGATAGATAGATAGATAGATAGATAGACAGACAGATAGACAGACAGATAGACAGACAGATAGACAGATGGACAGTTAGCTTAGCTAGCCTAGCCAGTGGTAGATTTTAGGTGCAACATTTTTGGAAGAATCTACTCTACTTGCTCTTTATCAGAATTCCAGCCGTATGTCACTATTTGTAGTTTTCCAAATGTATCAACCTCTTTCTATACTCTATAATTCTACCTATAGGAATCTCTGCTAGCAATGACACTTCTTGCTTTTTCGCATAAGGACTTAATGGATCCTTCAAGACCTCCTTTAATGTCATCTCCTCTCTTTCTCACTGGAATTGCAGCTCCATTAAGGCAAAGGCATATCTGTCTTGTTCAAAGCAGTATCTTCAGCATCTAGCATGATTGGCATGAGGTAGGCGCTCAATAAATATTTAATATATGGATAAATAAATGATTACAAAAGCTCCCCTAATACTCCTAGACTGTTTTCAACCTCTCTTCTGTTCTCATAATTAATAAATTTCTCAATTGATGATTTTACAAAATTGTATGATCTGTCACAATACCTGACAGAAATTGACCAATAAATATTGGACAAGTAAAATATTTGTGGCAGAAACAGACTGAGATTCACAAACCTGAGAGCTGGTTTTAGAGTTGTGGACTAAATACCCCGTTTACTAAGGCTGGACTCAGAACCATGTTTTATTTTCAAGCATAGTCTCAGCTTTAAGATGAGTAGAAACTCCTTGGATTTGGCCAATCTACATGAGCAATTAGATGTTCAACATGTTAAGTACTGCTGATCTCCACAACAATATGGACATTCTCTTAAACAGAATGTTGAGGAAAGAGGCTAGACATGAAAGAGACTGTGTGATTCCATTTATAAAAACTTCAGGAACATGGAAAATTAATCTATGGTAATAGAAATCAGAGTGGTGGCTGTGTTTGTGGAGCGAGGTAATTTAAATGGAAGTGAGCACAAGAAGCCTTCCAGGTACTTGTGAAAGCACCTGGAAGGTACTGGAAATTTTCCCTTTTTTTCCCCACTAATTTAACTCCCTCTTATCACATAAATTGCCTTCACTGATGTTTTTTCTTATTCTTTCTGTGGTTTCTTACCCTCATTTTCAAGGGCATCTTAAATAATTCTCCTGCCCAAAAGATGCTAGGCTCCACTTCCCAATTTAATATTATTCACTAACTTCTTAGATATGCTTTGTAATTTTCTAGCGAATCATTATTGCAATATTAGCACCTGTTTCTAAGGTAACAAGTCTCCCTAGAATATTGCACCGTGAGATTCCCAGACTGGCGATAAGACACTAATGGTCAGTCATTTGAAATAGTCCTGAAACCAGTGATGTGTGATATGGTTCTTAATATCCAGAGAGGGAGAGGGTGATATTACTCCTCATATCGTAGGGGGTGTACGCCCCCTTCTGATATGGTTCATAATATCCAGGGGGGAGAGGGTGATATTACCCCCCATATCGCGGGGGGTGTACACCCCCCTGTGACATGGTTCATAATATCCAGGAGGTGAGAGGTGATATTACTCCCCGTATCTCGGGGGGTGTACAACCGTCTGGATATGGTTCGTAATATCCGCGGGTGAGAGGGTGATATTATTCCCCATATCGCGGGGATTGTACAATCCTTTGTAATATCTACTTTGGAATTAGGAGTAACATTTTACCTATAATATTTTGAATAATTTCACATGGTGTACCCCCACTGTGACATTAGGTGTAACACCTCAGTAGAATATTACCAATAATATAAATGGGAATACACCCTCTGTGATATTAGAAGTAACATCTCCCTAGGATACTACGAATTATATCATATTAAGTATATGATATAATTCATTAATATGAATAATGATATATTATATCATTAATATGATATAATTAATATATTGTTATATGATATATGAATATGATAATGTGAATGGTATATGAATTAATATGATATAATTATTAATATGATATTATTCATAATATCCTAGGGAGAAGTTACTCCTAATGTCACAGTGTGTGTACAACATGTGTGTACACCCTGTGGTGTTATTCGTAGTATCCTAGAAAAATGTTATTCCCAATATCCCTAAGGGTGTACACCCCATCTGTTATATGGTTCCTAATATCCAGAATGCAAGAGGATGATATTACTCCCAATGTCGAGGAGATGTGGACGCCCCCGTGCGATATTTTTCCTAATATTCAGGGAGAAAGAGGATGATATTACTCTCAATATTGCAGGAGGTGTACACGCCTCCGTGATATTGTTCCAAATATCCAGAGGGGGAGAGAATGATATTACTCCCAATATTACAAGGAGGTACACCCCCTCCATGATATCGTTCCTAATATTCAGGGATGAGAGAATGATATTACTCCCCATATAGGAGGGGGTGTATAACCCCCCTGTGATACGGTTTCTAATGTCCACGGCAGAAAAGGATGATATTACTTTCAATATCGCAGAGGGTGTACACCTTCCTGTAATATTGTTTTCAATATTTAGAAGGAAGAGAGGATAATATGACTCCCAATATTTCAGGGGGTGTACACCCCTTCCATGATACCGTTCTTAATTTTCAGGAGGGGAGAGGGTGACATTACTCCCAGTATCGTAGGGGGTGTACAGCCTTCTGTAATATTTTTCTTAATATTCAGAGTGGAGAGGATGATATTACTCCCAATATCGCCGGGGGTGTACACATCCCTGTGATATTTTTCTAATATTCAAGGACGGAGAGAATGAAATTACTCCCAATATTGCAGGGGTAGGTACAACCCCTGTTATTTCTAATATCCAAGTGGAGAGAGAATAATGCTAATACTCAAAATATCACAGGATGTGTACACCCCTCCTGAAATATTGTTCCTAATATCCAACTTGAGAGATGGTATTGTTCCCAATATCGCACTGGGTAGACACACACCACCCCGCCCCCCGTAATATTGTTCCTAATATCCAGGGGAGGAGAAGATTATATTACTCCCAATATATCAGGGAGTGTACACAACCCCTTTGATATTGTTCCTAATATCCTGGGGGAAAGAAAATGATATTACTCCCAGTGTCGCCTGGGGGGTACACCTCCCCTGTGATATTGTTCCTAACATGCAGGAGGGGAGAAGATGAAATTACACCAAATTTCATACGAAGTGTACAATCCCGCAGTGATATTGTTCCTAATCATCGGGGGGAGAGGATGATATTACTCCCAATATCACAGGGGATGTAGCCCCACGCTGTGATATTGTTATTAATATTCACTGGGAAAGATAATATGACTCCCAATATCGCATGGGGTGTACACCCACAATTTGATATTGCTCTTAATGTCCAGGGGCAAGGAGAATAATATCACACCCCATATCCCCGGTTGTGTACACCCCCCTGTGATATTGTTCCTAATATCAAGGTGGGCGCAGGATGATATTACTCCCAATATTGCAGGGGGTGTACACCCCCCCAGTGATATAGTTCCTAATATCCAGGGTGTCAGAAAATGATATTACTCCCAATATTGCAGCAAATGTACAACCCCCTGTGATTTTTTCCAAATATCCAAGGAGGGAGAGGATGATATTACTCCCAATATCCCTACAAGTGTACACACCCTCTGTGATATTGTTTCTAATATCCAGAGCCTGAGAGGATGATATTATCCCCAATATCGCATGGGGTGTACACCCCCTGTGATATTGTTCCTAAGGGAAGAGAAGATAATCTCACTCCCAATATCACAGGGAGTGTACACTGTCCCAGAGATATTGTTCCTAATATGCAGGGAGGGGAAGGATTTTGTTACATTCAATATCGCAGGGGGTGGATACCCCCCGTGCGATATTGTTCCTAACATCCAGAGGGGTCAGGATGACATTACTCCCAATATCGCAGGGACTGTACAGCCCACCTGCGATATTGTTCCTAATATCCAAGGGGAGAGGGGATGATATTACTCCCAATATCACAGTGGGTGTAGACCTCCCTTATGACATTGTTTCTAATCCAAGGGGGGAGAGGATGATATTACTCCTAATATCCCAGGGGGTGTACAACCCCCCCTGTAATATTGTTTTTCATATTCAGGAGAAGAGAGGATATTACGCCAAATATCTCATGGGTTGTACACCCCCCTCCCCCGTTTATTGTTCCTAATATCCAGCGGGGAGAGGATGATATTAATTCCAATGTCGCAGGGGGTGTACACCACCTCTGTGATATTGTTTCTAATTTTCAGGAAGGGAAAGGATGATATTACTTGCAATATCGCAGGGGTGTACATCCCCCTGTGAGATTGTTCCTAATATTCAGTGGGGAAGAGGATGATTACGCCCAGTATCGCAGGGGATGTACACCCCTGCTGTGATGTTGTTCCTAATATCGGGGGGGGGGAGAGGTGATATTACTCCCCCTATCACGGAAAGTGTTCACCCCCGTTATCTGATTCGTAATATGCAGGAGGAGTGGGAGTGACATTACTCCCCATATCGCCCATATCGTGAGGTGTGTACACCCCTGATATGGTTTATAATATCCAGGTGGGGAGAGGATGATATTACACCCAATATCGCAGGTCGTGCACACCTTTTTTGTAATATTGTTCGTAACATCCAGGAAGGGAGAGGATTATATTATTCCCAATATCGCAGGAAGGATACATCTCCCCCATGACATTGTTCCTAATATCAAGGTGGGGGATATGATATTATTCCCAATATCGCAGAGGTGTACAACCCCCTGATATATTATTCCTAATATCCACGTGGGAAGAAGATGACATTACTTTCAATATCGCAGTGGGTTTACACCTCCCCTGTGATACTGTTCTTAATACCCAAGAAGAAAAAGAATGATATTACTCCAAATATCTCAGGTGCTGTACAACATCCATGTGATATTGTACCTAACATCCATGGGAAAGAGCATGATATTACTCTCAATATCGCAGAAAGTGTATACCCCCTTTGCGATATTGTTCGTAATATTTAGGGGGGGAGAGTATAATATAATTCCCATTATCGCAGGGGGTGTTCACCTCCCATGTGATATTGTTCCTAATATCCAGGGAAGAAGAGGATGACATTACTCCCGATATCGGAGGGGGTCTGCACCCCTTCTATGACACTGTTTTTAATATCCAGGGGGAGATTATGATACTACAGCCAATATCGCAGGGGGTGAACACCTCCCCTGAGACATTGTTCCTAATATCAAGGGGGGAGAGGATATTATTCCCAATATCGCAGAAAGTATTCACCCACCTTGTGATATTGCTCCTAATATCCAAGGAGGGAGAGGATGACATTATTCCAAATATCGCAGGGGGTGTACAACCCCCCTATGATATTGCTTTTCAATATCCAGATGGGGAGAAGATAATATTACTTTTAATATTGCAGGGGGTGTACACCTCCCTTATGATTATTGTTCCTAATATTCAGGGAGGGAGAGGATGATATCATCCCCAATACCTCAGTGGGTGTACACTCCTTCTGTGATATTGTTTCTAATATCCAAGCGGGGGAAGGTGATATTATTCCCAATATCGCAGGGGGTGTACAACACCCCTGTGTTAATATTCCTAATATCCAAGGGGGTAGAGGATAATACTACTCTGAATAACCCGGGGGGGTGCTCACCCCCACCCCATTGTTCCCAATATCCAGGGGTGAGGGGATGATATTGTTCCTAACATCCAGGGGTGAGGGGACGATATTACTCCCAATATAGCAGTTGGTGTAACCCCCCCCCCCCCCGTGATATTGTTCCTAATATCCAGGGTGAAAAAGATGATATTACTCCCAATATGGTAGGGACTGTACACCCCTCCTGTGATATTGTTCCTTATATCCAGTGGGGGAAATGATGGTATTACTCCTAATATTGCAAGTGATGTACACCCCCGCTGTGATATTTTTTCTAATATCTGGTGTGAGAGAGGATAATATTACTCCCAATATTGCTGGGGGTGTACACCTTCCCTGTGATATTGTTTCTGATATCCAGAGGGGAAGAGGATAATACTACTCACAATATGGTAGCAGCTGTACAACCTCCTGTGATATTGTTTCAAAATCCAGGGGGTGAGAAGATCATATTTTTCCCAATATCCCAATAATATGTTCCTAATATTTAGTGAGGGAAAATATGATATTACTCCCAGTATCGCGGGGGATGTACACCCCTTGTGTGTTATTGTTTCTAATATTCAGGGGGGGAGAGGATGATTTTACTCACAATATCACAGGGTGTTTACACCCCCACTGTCATATTGTTCCTAATATCAAGGGGGGAGAGGATGATATTTCTCCCAATATCCCAGCAGGTGTACACCCCCCATGTAATATTGTTTCTAAATCCAGGGGAGTGAGAAGATGATATTACTCCCAATATCGCACAGGGTGTACACCCCACCTGTGATATTGTTTCTAATATTTAGTGAGGGAATGGATGATGTTACTCCCAATATCGCACGAGGCATACAGATCCACTGTGGCATTGTTCCTAATATCCTGGGGGGCAGAGGATTATATTACTCCCATATTGCAGGGGTTGTACACCTCCCTGGATATTAGGAACAATATCACAGGATGTACAGCCTCCCCACCCCGTGATAATGTTTTTAATATCCAGAAGAGTAGAGGTTGATATTACTCCCAACATCGCAATGGGTGTATACCCACCCTGTGATATTGTTCCTAATATCCAGAGGGGGAGAGGATGATGTTACTCCCAATATCGCAGGAAGCGTACACTCCCCCTGTGATAGTGTTCCTAATATAAAGAGGGAGAGAAGAATATATTACTTCCAATATCGCAGCGGGTGTACACTTTCTCTGTAATATTGTTCCTAGTACTCAGGAGGGGAGAAAATGATATTACTCCCAATATTAAAGGGAGTGTAACCTCCCCCTGTGATACTGTTGTTAATATCCAGCGGGGGAAATGATGTTGTTACTCCCAAGCAGGGGGTGTACACCCATCCTGTGATATTGTTTCTAATATTCAGGTGAAGAAAGGATGATATTACTGTCAATTTTGCAGAGGGTGTACACCCCACCTGTAATATTGTTCCTAATATTCAGGGGAAGAGAGGATGACATTACTTTCAATACCACAGTGGGTGTACACCCTAATTCTGATATTGTTTTTCGTATCCAGGGAGGGAGAGGATGATATTACTCCCAATATCGCAGGGTGTGTACACCCCCCCGTGATATTGTTCCTAATATCAAGGGAGGGAGAGGATGATATTACTCCCAATATCCTAGGGGGTGTACACCCCCTCGTGATATTGTTTTTAATATCCAGAAGAGGAGAGATTGATATTACTCCCAATATCGCAGTGGGTGTGTACCCACCCTGTGATACTGTTTCTAATATGCAGAGGGGGAGAGGATGATGTTACTCCCAATATCACAGGAAGTGTATACTCCCACTCTAATATTGTTTCTAATATCTGAGGGGAGAGTATAACGTTACTCCCGATATCGCAGGGGGTATATACCCTTCCTGTGATATTGTTCCTAATGTCCAGGAAGGGAGAGGATGATATTACTCCTAATATCGCAGGGGGTGTAAACCCATTCTGTGATATTGTTTTTAATGTTTAAGGGGTTAGGATGATATTACTCCCAATATCGCAAGGGGTGTACTCCCCCCCATTACATCGTTTTTAATATCCAGACGAGAAGAGGATGATAATGCTCCCAATATCGCAGGGGGGGGGTACACCACCCCTTTGATATTGTTCCTGATATCCAGGTGGCTAAAGGCTGATATTACTCCCAATATCGCAGGGGGTGTACACCTCCACAGTGTTATTGTTTCTAATATGCAGAAGGGGATAAATTGATATTACTGCTAATATCTCAGGGAGTATACACCACCCCTGTGATATTGTTCCTAAAATCCAGGGAGGGGAGAGGATGATATTACTCTCAATATCGCAGGAGTTCTAATACCCTCTGTTATATTGTTTCCAATATCCAGGGTGAGATTATTATATTACTCCTAATATTCCAGGGGGTGTACACCTCCCCTGTGATACTGCTCCTAATATCCAGTAGGGAAGAGGATATTATTCCAAGTATTGCATGAAGTGTACACGCCTCTGGTGATATTGTTCCTAATATCCAGGTGCGATGATGATATTACTCCCAATATCGCAAGGGGTGTACACACCCCCCGTGATGTTGTTCCTGATAGTTAGGTGGGGAGAGGATAATATTACTTCCATTATTGCAGGGTGTGTACACACCCCTTGTGATATTGTTTCTAATATCCAGGGGAAAGAGTTTGATATTAATCACAATACCGCTGGAGGTGTATACTCACGCTGTGATATTGTTCTTAATATCCAGGGAGGAAAAGGATAATATTACTTCCAGTATCACAGGGCATGGACACGCCCTCTGTGATAGTGTTCCTAATATCAAGGAGTGGGGGAAGGATGATATTACTCCCAATATCGCAGGGAATGTACACCTCACCTGTGATATTGTTTCTAATATCCAGTGGGGGAGAGGAAGATATTACTCACAATATCACAGGAATAGCCATATAATCCTTAATCTTTTCTTTTTTAATGAAGCATCATTTATTGATGAATAAATTTTTTCTTCCTTTGGTCAACATCCCATCCCTTAAAGCTAATTATCCCAAATTTAAAAAAAAATTTAAGACATTACAGCATAGTTGGACTTCAGAGGTATAAAAATATAGCTTTCATTGGCCATTCTTGTTCCCAATCTCTGTAAAAAATAATAAAAAAAAATTCCATCAGTTTTCTAATTCCTGAAATTCTACCATCAGATATTCTATCTATTGCCTTTATTTTCTTTCCAAAGATAAATATTTATATCCTTTGCCCACTTTTTGATGGGGTTGTTTGTTTGTTTTTTTTCTTGTTAATTTGTTTAAGTTCTTTGTAGATTCTGGATATTAGCCGTTTGTCAGATGGATAGATTGCAAAAATTTTCTCCCATTCTGTAGGTTGCCTGTTTACTCTGATGATAGTTTCTTCTGCTGTGCAAAAGCTCTTTCATTTAATTAGATCTCATTTGTCTATTTTGGCTTTTGTTGCCATTGCTTTTGGTGTTTTAGTCATGCAGTCTTTGCCCATGCCTATGTCCTGAATGGTATTGCCTAGGTTTTCTTCTAGGGTTTTTATGGTTTTAGGTCTTATATTTAAGTCTTTAATTTATCATCTTGAGTTAATTTTTGTGTAAGGTGTAAAGAAGGGATCCAGTTTCAGCTTTCTACATATGGCTAGCCAGTTTTCCCAGCACCATTTTATTTAAATAGGGAATCCTTTCCCCATTGCTTCTTTTTGTCTGGTTTGCCAAAGATCAGATGGCTGTAGATGTGTGGTGTTATTTCTGAGGCCTCTGTTCTGTTTCATTGGTCTATATATCTCAAAAGAAGACATTTATGCAGCCAACAGGCATATGAAAAAATGCTCATCATCACTGGTCATTAGAGAAATGCAAGTCAAAACCACAATGAAATACCATCTCACATCACAATGGTGGTCATTAAAAAGTCAGGAAACAACGATGCTGGAGAGGATGTGGAGAAATAGGAACGCTTTTACACTGTTGGTGGGAGTGTAAATTAGTTCAACCATTGTGGAAGACAGTGTGGCAATTCCTCAAGGATCTAGAACTAGAAATACCATTTGACCCAGCAATCCCATTAGTGGGTATATACCCAAAGTATTATAAATCATGCTACTATAAAGACGCATGCACACGTATGTTTATTGCAGCACTATTCACAATAGCAAAGACTTGGAACCAACCCAAATGTCCATCAATAATAGACTGGATAAAGAAAATGTGGCACATATACACCATGGAATACTATGCAGCCACAAAAAAGGATGAGTTAATGTCCTTTGCAGTGACGTGGATGAAGTTGGAAACCATCATTCTCAGCAAAATATCACAAGAACAGAAAACCAAACAACAATGGGAACACGTGGGCACAGGGAGGGGAACATCACACATCAGGGACTGTTGGAAGGTGGGGTCTGGGGGAGGGATAGTGTTAGGAGAAATACCTAATGTAAATGACGAGTTGATGGGTGCAGCAAACCAACATGGCACATGCATACCTATGTAACAAACCTGCACATTATGCACGTGTACCTTAGAACTTAAAGTATAATAATAAAAAAATTAAAAAACTAAAAAAGATGAATATTAGAGGATAAAATTTTAAAAGGATTTTCAGTCAATTACATCTAACTCACTTTTTTGGATGCAAATTTGGGGTCTACAAAGGTAGAAAGCCAGCAGAGAAGCTTAAGTTCAAAAGTTTTGGAAACTTAAGGGTAATGAATGAAAGGGAGAAGATGATTCAGGGAACAAACTTAAGCTACTTGGAGAAAACAATAGAAGTAAATTAAAATACAGGAGTCTTGTATGGAGACAATCTAAAGAACTCCTATATGTCAATAAGAAAGGGACTGACGATCCAATAAAATTGGGCCAAAATATTGAGCTGCCACTTCATAAAAGAAGATACACAAATGGCCAGTCAGCATGACCAATTAGATGTTCAACATCTTAAGTACTACTGATCTCCACAACAACATGGATGATCTCCCAGACAGAATGTTGAAGAAAGAAAGCAGATGTGCAAGAGCATGAATTCATTTATAAAAAGTTCAGAAACATGCAAGATTAACCTATGGTAATAGAAATTAGAGTAGTGGCTATGTTTGTGGGGTGGGAAATTTAACTGGAAATGGGCACAAGAAGACTTCCAGGTACTGGAAAATAGCCATATAATGATATGGTCTTGGTTTAATGGGCATAGTCATATGTTTAGAGTCATCAAGCTGCACATTTAATACTTGTGTTTTTTCTGTTGATATGTGATATCCCCAAAATTTATTTCACTTTTAAAATCGGGAGTCTTTATTGGAAATGTGAATGATATATCTGTGGGTTCTTGGGCCACACATTTTGAGATACAGCATACAAGCTTTGGATTCCCTTCCCTCAAAAGGAGCTGGTGAGATGATTATTGAGATCTTTCCAGGCTCAGGTGAGAGTGACAATAATGCCTCTGCCTACTTTGGTCCTTGACTCTGCCAGGTTTCAACTTCTAATTTCCCCATACAGTTCTTTAGTCTTCTCTCTCCTTATCAATCCAAGGTCTTAGAAACAAGATTTAGAGTCCCACATGGTAACACCCCATTGTGAAAATGTTGTTCTTAGAATTTTTATTTAACATTTTTCTTCTGCTGAGGCAGAACATTTTGAAATAAATTCTTGCCTAATACTCCTTGGAGCAGTTGAAATTAGAACATTAATCAACCAACTTGCTAGATCAAGTGTTTTCTCAATTTCTCCTATAATTGCCATGGCATTTAGGTCCTCGTCCATCCCTGAGACAAAAAAGATGGAACAACCGTTGCTGTTACTTAGATGCCTCTTTCATTCAACTGTGACTTCCTTGAAGCCAAGAAATTATCTCATTTATCTTTGTATCCCTGGCATTGAGCCTAGTGCCTGGTACATAGTAGGTGCTCATTAATTTTTCTTGAATTAAAATGAATGAGGAAGGCCTTCACAAAACCTTTTGCCAGAGGCAATTTTAACTTGCATTCAATATCCGAGGAGAGTGGGCGTGCTGCTTTGGCAATAGCTCTGACATTGAATAATCTGGATGTTCCAAATTTCTTGTTGCTCATTTATTTTCAAAAAAAAAAAAAGAAGAAGAAAGAAAGAAAGTTGGGGGAAGCAGGGGAATATTGTGTTTGCAGACCAGGCAGACACATCTCAGACTCATCACCCTGTGAGACGGATCAGATGAGACAGCAGCAAGACCAAGGCCACCTGCCCTGCTGCTGTCTTCTGACTGCTGATGTTGCCTTAATCACTGAGCTGATGCAATTTCCTGCTGCTAATCCTCACTATGGTCCACTGGGAGGTCTCATTTGTCACTGTCATTACCTTTCAGATCAGCAGAATATCCATCTTTGGGTGGGCCCTCTCTCAGTGTCTTGTTCAGGTGTCTAAAAAGCATGTGATCAGCGTGACAATTCAAGACAGTGACCCTGGGTGCCTAAATATGAAGGCAAATCTATGCACTTTGGTATATAAACTTTATTAATAGTGATTTTGAAGAGCAAGTAAATTTTAATCTCATTTCAAAGAAGTAACACTTTATTTTAATGTATCCTTCATAAACCACACTAGTTTTATGTCTATATAATTTAGATGTTCCATGGGAAGACCTTGATTAAATGAAAAGCTACAATTCAATCAATCCTATCACCTCTGATCCTACACTGAGCCCAGACCAGTCCTGATTTTACCTCCTTCAACAGTCCTACGTCCATCAGCTAAAAAACTCATACACACTTGACTATGAAAAGGAGTTCGACCCATATAAAAAATGCCTCCTTTCTGACATTTGACTTGAATAAAGCTAGCTTTCTTATTTGTTAAACAAGCACCTATCTTGCACTTACTATGTGCCAGACACAATTCTAAGAGCTTTGTAATCATAAACTCCTTTATTACAGTAAAATCTCATTTTATAGATGAAGAAACTGAGGTGCAGACAGACTCAGTGTCTTGTTCAAGTCGTATCACCAGTAAATGAAATTCTAACTAAGTACATGTTGTTCTTGAGCCTGTGCTGTCAACCACTACGGTCAGACAACAGAGGTTCTCTGGACCTAAATGTCAGGCCAAAATCTTCCAATAATGTATTCATTTTTTCTTTCAGCTCTGGCCCAGAGCAAAGGAGAGGTCAGGGAGAAGGGAACAAACAAGTAGTCCACAAAATTGTACACTCTACCACTTTCTCTCACATTTTACACCTCATTGTCACCAGTTGGATCTCCAAAAGCAGATGTGGAGATAGCGTTTGAAGTGCAAGATGTTCACAGATTCCCTGTGAAAGGAAAGAAGAGGAGGCAGAATTGGGTAGAATAGGGCAGGGAAGAAGTTGAGCTGCAGTAAGTCCTGGCAGAGACTTGGCCAACCAGCAGAGAGCTCTGGAGCAAATATGGCCTGTCAAAGTGGCCTTGGAGAACTGAAATGGCCAGACCTTATATACCCAACTTGCTGAGTTACCAGATTTGGACTGTCCTGGGAAGGGCATAACTTCAAATGAGGCACCTCTGCAGCTGAGGCAGTTCCTGAAGGCACTAACACCTGGAATATATTCTATCCCAGGACTCAGGATGACCCATTTTATACTGAAGAGGGAGATAAAAGTGGATTGGGACTCCATTCAAGAGCATCTTATCCAGATGACAGGATACATGGTCTCCTTCCACAGTTATAAGTTTTTCATAGCAACTGTATAGAACTGCCCAATAGTCCTATGTCCCAACAAGGAAAAAAAAAATGTGTAGCTCTCTGACACTGAAACATAAAACATGGTATTTTATGAAATCAGGTTCTCAATTTTGAAATCTAAGTCAATATTTTATTTACTTTGTAACAGACTAGGGCTTTGGGGTTTGTTTGTTTTTATTATTAATTAAAATGGAAACCAAAAGCAAAAATAATCTGTGAGCACCACCTTGTGGAGGTATCTATAACTATCACATCTGTTTGGACCCTATCAATCTGGATTCATTGAACACATATTTAATATGCTGACCCTGGGGATGGAACAATAAACAGGCAAAACTCCCTGGCGTGGTGGAACTTACTTTCTAGTGAGAAGACAGAAAAGTAACAAGAACAATACATGAAATACATAACGCATTAGACAGTGATTAGTGCTATAGAGCAAAAATAAAGCAGGGACAAGGATCAGGGAAGGGGAATTGCAATTTAAAATCAAGTGGTCCAAGAAGGCCTCACCTGAAAAAAATTTGAATAAAGGTTTGAAAGAGGCAAAACCAGATACGCCATTGCCTGGAGTCAGAGCCATCTACATAGAATGGCACGTAAAAAGTACTGAGTAGAAAAATGCCTGGTGAATTTGAAAAGGGTTGAGGCCAATGTCCAGAGCAAGGGTGGAGGAGAAGGCAGGAGATGAAGACAGAGAGGACACATGGGGCCAGATCACACGGAGCCTTTCTGGTCACAGTGAGGATTTAACATCTACTTCAGATAAGATGGGAGCTTCAAGAGACTCTGCACAGAGGGGTAAGATGAGCCACTTTTTTTTTTTAACAGGATTGCTTTGATCAAAGGAGTCAAAAGCAGAAATAAACTGGGAGTGGTGGGAGGAATGTGTAGTCCCAGCTACTCAGGAGGCTGAAGCAGAAGGATCACTTGAGCCTGGGAGGTGAGGCTGCAGTGAGCCATGTTAGCACCACTGCACTCCAGCCTGGTTGACAGAGCAGGACCCCACCTCAAAATAAAAATGAATAATTTTATTTTTCCAAGATGGAAATAGGCAATACTGCCTTTAGATGTATGCAACAGGGGCCCTGCCCTAGACCCATGCCTTAAAGAGTTCTTCATAAAACAAGCACAACAATGTATAAATTTATTATAGTACTCAGAGCACCTTGATTAGAGATCAGGGTTCATTTCTGGTTCAGTACAATCTGTAATCTTAAACATGTGCTCCTTTGACTAACACCCTTCAGGAACCCTGAGAAACTCACCTCCATGCTTCTTACCCTCTGCACATCAAACAAAAGATGACCGTCTCCAAACACCATCAGGTTTACTGGGTTGTACTGCTGCTATCATGGGTTTGGCATGGGAAGAGTTGAGCAACAGGTGGGCTTGATTAAGAGAAATGCAACTTAACTTATCAAGTCTTTCCTTTTGGGGAGCACAAATACCATAGATAACAGTGTGTTATATATCAGTTGTCCTGGGCATTCATTTTCCTACTTTCTCTTTGTGTTTCATTTTACCATTCTTGAGATACTCATGAATTGCATGGCATTTGGAAAAGTTGCACATTTAATGGCTAAAGGATAAGAACTCATATCACCCAAATTTGTATTAATGCAGGTCTAGACTGAAAATTCATAATGAATGTAGATTCTAAAATAGTATTTTAAGAGATGATGAAATGGCAATATAACTGATCATTGGTTTATATATACAATTTCAGTATCTTCCAATATTGTCTGCAATAGTAATAATGCATCTTATGCAAACCCCCTTACAATTTGAACCAAAACTTAATCATAAAATTACTACTGCATTTTCAAGTCTTACTGCCAATTCAGCTGAGAAAACTTTCTCTAAATAGAAATTAATTTTTTAAAATTAGTAAGAAATACAATGACTCAACAAAGGTGGTCAAATTTGACAGAACTGTCAACAGAACATGTACTGTATGGAAAGCTTGATTACAAAATATATCATATTTGTCTGAAATTCAGTTTTAAAAATAACATTTATGGGATAAATATAGAGTAATTTATGAATTAATGTCTTTGTCTTATTACTCATCCAAATATCACCTGCCTATTACTAGGACACCTAGACATACACCATAGTAATGAAGTCACTTTTGATATTTTGTTTACTGTGAGTGATGTAAAAAGCCATACTTTATTTTCTATTTGTTTCAACAAAAATGCTTATATTTCAAAGTAGAAGGATAGAAGATATTTTAAATAAACATTTGTTAGCTTCATTTTTAAGCTTTAAATATTTCAACATGTGGTATGTTGAGCTTTATTTGCATTAGGTCCTTGGATCTCTTATATGTGAGAGAGTTACATTTATTGCAATACTTGGCTATAGTTTGACCCAGGGTTGTGGCAGTGAAGAGGCACTATTCCTCAAACTCTGTACACATTCTGAAGGAAGCACCAAAAGGATTATCTGACAGATTACATTTAAGTATAAAAGAGAAAAATCAAGTGACACAAGGTTTTAGCCTGAGAAGCTAGACAGAACTTGTCACTACGTGAGTTAAGGTAGAATGTGGGAGGAGCAACTTGATTTTGTCATGTTAAGCTTGGGATGTACATTTCACTCAAGCAGTTTAGTACTCAGGGCTGGCAGTCAGGTGTGTATATTTGGTAATCATCAGGGTAGGAACAAGCTAGGGGTTGTGTTCAAATCCTTGGGATGGGATTTTAATTTTCTCTTTTTTTTCTGCTTTCCTTGATTTTTCTCCTTTTGACAAGATGGGAGACATGATGTTGTTGAAAGATGGTGATAGTCGGTTGTCCAATTCTCCACCTTCGTAGCAGAAAATGGAGTGAAGAACCTAGAACCTCCCTCCAAAGCCACTACCAGAGAATAGCAACTTCCTTGGTTTGGATGCCCCGGAGAGAACTCATAATCAACTACTACTCCTGGATCCTAACCCTGAGCTCGTAACTCCAGACTTCCTATGAAATGTCAGCCACAAACACTGGTGTAAGGTGCTGACAGATACTCCAAATCTTACACATGAATTGTTGTACCCCTACGGGTGCTCTGCCTGGTTCTCTTTTGTATCAAATCCTGTGGCGTGGTTTTTTTCTTCTATCTTCTGGGCTGCTTGTCTCTCAGCCTCCCCAGATTGTTCCAATCCACTCATAGAGATGATATAAAGAAAAAAAAATAAACATAAGAACATAGGAATAAGAGACAAAACTCTAAGTTCCTGAATTTCTTTATTATTCAATTCTAATTGGAAAAAGAAAAATCTTTAAGTGTAAACATCACTTTTTAAATCACTTGCAAATTATCTTATTCTCCCTCTGACAAATAACAAGCACAGCTACAACTAAAGCAATATTTCATTCTCAACAGGGAAGAACTGCTGAAGAAAGGGAGAAACGTCAGGAGTTAACTTTACCCCACTTGGATCCTTAAATGAGAAACAAATGCAACATTTCCAAAATGGATATACTACAGAATGCTCTTTCACAGTATGTTACTTGATCAATTCTATACCCAAAATAAACGTGATCATTGGATAAAATAAAATTAAACAAACTTATTTTCTGCGGGAACATCCGAGACTACACTAATGTGCTTTATAGATCTGCAACAGGAAGACAGAATATAGTACTTCCAATATTTGTTTGAGGCAGAACCCACTTTTTTCCAGTAGTTCATAATACCAACTTCCAGAAATGGTATTCCTCTGAACACAGTTTGAGAAACACATGTATATAAACATCGTTCATTTTTGAGGCTCTCACTCATATATAAATATATACATATGTGTATATATATATGTGTATATACATATGTGTATGTATATGTGTGTGCATATACATACGTGTGTATGTATATGTGTGTATATACATATGTGTGTGTACATATATATATGTATATATATATATATATATATATATATATATATATATGAGTGACAGCCTCAAAAGTGAATGGTGTTTGCCAAAGTAGGCAGTGCAACAAAGTAGGCAGAGCAGACCAGAAAGTTTTCTATCACCCACTCCCTGTCTTGATGCACCAAGATTTCCAAATCTGCATAACTATACCTTCATAGAACCAAATTCAATTTGGATTCAATAAATTTTCTTTCTTAAAAGATGAAACCAGCCAGGCGCAGTGGCTCACACCCATAATCCCAACACTTTGGGAGACCAAGGCAGGAGGATCACTTGAGCCCAGGAGTTTACGACCAGCCTGGGTAACATAGGGAGATTCCATCTATACAAAAATAAAGAATAAATAAATAAATTAGCCAAGCATGGTGACAAAGGCCTGTGTTCCCAAGTACTTGGGAGGCTAAGGTGGGAGGAACACTTGGGCATAGGAAGTTGAGGATGCAGTGAGCCAGAATCACTCCACTGCACTCCAGCTTGGGCTACAGAGCAAAATCCTGTCTCAAAACAACAACAACAACAACAAAAAAAAAACAGAAAAAAAAAATGAAACCACTGAATTATCAAATATTCACAATTATTATACATTTGCATTGCAAATGAACTCCCAAATCCCCACCTGCTCCAGCAATGTTATCTCTGAATAACTGGAATTAATTATTATAGAAATGATGATAATGATGTCAAAGAATTTATCCTAATTAAATGTTCTATCATGAAGAAAAGGCAAAAATTCAGATCCATAATGATTTCATTTTATTCTTGATTCTTTTGGGGACATTCAGTTCTTCTAAGCACAATAATTTGATGAATGATTTCATCTTCACTATGATCATCAACTTTTTCTTACATTTTACCCAATACACAAGTCCATATAATATAAGTTTTCTAAGCAAACCTTTACACACTGATAAATTTTAAATATCCTTTAGCTAGTCTTTGCCACCCTTTCTGTGTCATCTCCATGAATTAAACTAACATGAGAATAGCTCCATTTTGTCAGAAGGCAACCCACCCAAGAGAGTCAAAAACTTGCTGTCATACTCTGCAATTCACACAGAAAGAAGTGACACACATTGATCTGAGATATAGAAGATATTTAGCAAGAATACATTTATTAATTATAAATCCCATTCATACTTTGTATACAAATATTAATTATTATGCTTAAATGGAATGACTAATGCTAATAATGCCAAATTTTAAAAGCTACCTACAAAGTTAATAGACATATGCTCTGAAATACATATAAATATTTTTAAAGGAGGTGCCTTAAAATAGGAATAATAATTGACTAGGTGACTTTTTAAATTTTTCTGTATTATTTTTATAATCTTGAAAAAATGGAAGTTATTTTTTAATAGCACTACTCTGTGTTAACTGACTTATTCCACTGAATCTAAACTACAGGATTCAGGACACAAATTTATGGTGAAATTCCAGAAGTTTCCTCTGGGTACAAAAGGAACCCAGTAAAAATGCTGTCATCCTCAGCACTGACATACACCCCATTCCAATCTTTTGACACCTCAAGCCAGACTTGGTCTCCTGCACTTAATTTCAAGATGACGAGGAGAGAGGCCTGGTCTATTTCCTGACCATAGAGAGTTTCTCTGGACTTGAACTGCTTCTTATTCTGGGCCACCAGACTGATTCGAGCAGGTCGCCCCCTCACCGTAATATGGTAGGAAAAAACATATGTCCCAGGAATAGAGCAGTTAAACTTCCCAGTGACAGGACTGTAATTCCCTTGGTCATTATAGAGAATCTTTTCAAATTTGATGGGGATGTTAGGAGGAGGAAATGGCTTTGACAAACCAGCGCTGAAAGCCGACCGGGGCACTCTAGCCAACTCACCCTTGGAGCCTTTAAAGCCCCGAGAGCCCTTCTTCCCAGTGGGGCCTCGGACCCCTTTGTTGCCAATGTCACCCTTCGGCCCAGTAGGTCCCAGGAGACCAGGAGGACCTAACTCTCCTTTTTCTCCTTTAATCCCTGGATCACCTTTGGCCCCAGGCAGACCATTACGGCCGCTTTTGCCTTCCATTCCACTGTCTCCTTTGCTACCTTTTTCCCCTTTCATACCCCCCTCACCTTTCTGTCCTTTTCCTCCCCTCTCCCCAGAATCTCCACAGCAGCCCTTATCCCCCATCTCCCCCTTCTCCCCCATCTCCCCCTTCTCTCCCTTGGCGCCAGGCCCTCCGTGCAGGCCAGGTGAGCCCATAGCCCCTTGGTCTCCTTTTTCTCCTTTGGTACAATTCCCACATGTGTCTCCCTTGGAGCCTTTTTGTCCTTTCACTCCTCCCAAACCAATGTTTCCTTTATCTCCCTTAGGGCCAGGTTCACCTGAAATGGAAAATTAAAATAATGTTTAAGGATCACATAGGCCATAAACAGCATGCTATTACCACAGAGCTCAAAAAAGTAGAAACAAACCTACTAATTAGGAAACCTGATTCTTTCCTCAGTAAAAACTGTGCACACTTAGGAGGCTCTGACAATGAATAATTTATATTATGCCATGCTCTTAGAAGGGGAATAGTTAATGTTTCCAAGAAACAGTGGCTTATATTCAGATGCCATATATCTAATTCTTTTTGTTTTTTCACTTTTAAGATAATAAAGAATATTAGGACTGTAGTTGTTCGTTGTATTCCATTACCCTTTGCATTTTGGCCTAACCCAGGTATTCCCCTAAATCCCCATATTGTCCATTCAAGCCTAAATTATTATTGGCAAGGAAACTGAGACCCAGAACGAGTGAGGGATTTTTATTTTCCATTGACAGCTAGAGAGAGAAGCAGAGCACAGATACTATTACCTGGTCTCCAAATTCCTAGACTGGTTCTCCTTCACTGAGTCAGTACACTGAATTATTAGAAGAATAACAGTAATTTGTATTTTCAGCTTACCTCTCTGATAATTTTAAATACAAGCAGGAAGAGAATGAAGGGCTATACTGCGCACCTGACTGTACACAGTAGATACATTTCATGCTCTACCTTGTGCTCCCGGTTTTCCTGGGTATCCTGGAACTCCTTGGTCCCCACGTTCTCCTTTGAGTCCTAAGATGATACCAAGATTAACTTTTTACCAACTACATCATTTATGATATATTTAATATTCCTCTCACAACCATGTCACATTCTAGTGTTTTCTTTAACCAAAATGGGCTAAAGTTAAATCGTGTGGAAAAAGAATGTACGCCAGGCACGGCGGCTCACTCCTATAATCCCAACACTGTGGGAGGCCGAGGCGGGTGGATCACCTGAGGTCAGGAGTTCCAGGCCAGCCTGGCCAACATGGTGAAACCCCATCTCTACAAAAAATACAAAAAATTAGCCGGGTTTGGTGGTGCACACCTGTAGTCCCAGCTACTTGGGAGGCTGAGGCACAAGAATTGCTTGAACTCAGGAGGTGGAGATTGCAGTAAGCTGAGATCACACCGCTGCACTTTAGCCTGGGTGACAGAGTGAGACTTGGTCAAAAAAAATGTATTGAGGGTCATTAGGAATAATTAATTTCAACTGGTAAACTATTTTAGCGATCTGGAGGCAGTGATCCCTTCAAACAGAATTCATCTTTGCCCTCAGCATTTCCATGGCTCTTCAAACCTCTCATAAAACTCATGACATTCTGCTTGTATTATATATATATGTATTCATGTTTTTCCCAATATGAATTTTGAATAAAGTTAAAATGCCTTCTTTATATGGCCACAACACCTGAGAAATAATGCCATGTTCCCTACAAGTTTAAACAGAGTGCACAACATCCTGTAGTTGGCTAAAACCAATGATAAGAAAAAAAAGTCCGGGAAAAAAAACTGTTCTTTATATAGAGTATCTATGTAAGTATAGAACTGTAGGAATTCATAGTTGAAAAAAATGAAAACATCTGGATTTTCAGATATTTGTCATATTACCATAAAATATATTTTTATATTGGGCCTAACAGCCCATACTATTATAGTTCAGTCACACTGAATTGATTTCAACTATAAATTACCATAACAATAATAATGGTATTAATAATATCTCACTCTTATTACACATTTACTTTGCACAGATACTGTTCAAAGCTCTTACCTTTTTTTTACTTAATCCAGCCTTTTTATTTAATATAATTTTTACTTGACATTAACACAGCCTCTTCTATAGCACACAGGTTCATATAGCAGAACACATTTAATCAGTTGGAAAATTTCAAATTCACAAAAGTTTATAGCACCTGCCCTTCAAGAAAAGTAGGGAAGATATTTTTGTCATCATTTTATCAACAAAAGAAGCTGAGATATGAAAAAATTTAAAGCACTGGACAGAGTCAAATACAACTACATATAACATTGGTTGGCATCAATTTGCTACCTATATTGTTTATGATATAACTAACATCTTTTGTTTTATTTTTGTGAGGGAAAAAATAAATCCTAAGCCAAATTAAAAGTGGTGAGAATAGACTCCCTCCAGTTTCACAAGATCAACTAGAGAAATCCCACCATAGGTCATTTAGCAGAGTTTTCTAAGTTGCTAGCTACCCCAACACCACTCCGCATGAAATGCAAAATTTGGAAATTAAACCTTAGGCCATCAGGAAAATAACTGGACGCATTTTGAGAAACCCAGCCCTAAATGGAAGGGAAGAGCCGATTGTATTCCTAGCCTTTGCCAATACTCAAATACCAACCTTCACCACACAGAGTTATACTGCTTCTTGAATTCCTCGAAAGAGTTTAATTGCTTCCCCTAATTTACTCAACCAGGTAATGATTAACTAGAATGGAATCATTCAACTCATTTTTTTTTCTAACTTTCTATCTTAACCAAGAGTCCAAGCTAAGTCTGGAAGTGAAAGGAAAGTAGAGTTGCTACTTTATAAAGAATGGCTGAATGAATTTCTACTTTTGATCCTTCATCAAAGTGTATTCTTAAGAACCTTATTTTATTACACTTCCCTATTTTTTTCTTCTATTTCCAGAAGTCTAGCTTCCAAAATGTATGAATCACTGGGGAGGTTCATCACTCATCTTTATTTCACAAGGTTTTCTGCTAACATAATTCAGGCACAAAAGGATTAAATGTTTCCAAGAATGAAAATCACATAACTGACAAGTGTGAAGTAGCTCTCTCTTCCCTTAGCATTTTTTTGAGTAATTACTTCACTGAATGTTCTACCAGAAATGAGTTAGGCAGTTCCTGAGCCATGTGGAGGGTGATATATAGATGGTATTAGGCCTTTTGACATGTGACACTGAGGCTAAAACATTTAACTTGATGGATAGATGGTATTTCTACAGGCTGCTGGTATTCACTGAGGAATTTCTAAATATCCTAGTGAATCTGTAGCCTTCCTTCAGTACCTTTAAGCACTTACAGAACCAGGGATTTCCTGGGGCAGAAAGCCTTCTTTACTGATACACCTATGGAATTACAGAATTTCTGAGCTTGAAAAGAGCTATAAAGCCACTCATAACTACAAATCTTCTTCGATAGTAAACAAGATATAAATAAATATCTAGTTCATTTCCTTCAATTTCCAGGTGAAAGAAAATGACTTGCCCAATGTCATTATTATAAGCTTGATTACTTCTGTTTTAATTAAGTTGTCTTCCCACCACTGACACTGCCTCTGATTTCAGAGTGAGCCAAGGGATATATTAAATTCTTCTTAGCAGGCATACTATCCACCTAAACTGAATATTCAGAGAATTGCCTGCTCTAGTTAGTTCCATCTAATACAAAATTATTTGCATCCAAAGGAAGTAGGCTAACATGAGCATGTACAGGAAGGGTATCTCTATACCCTTCCCCAGAGACTATACTCTGTGGCTGCTTGTCACTAGGTCAGCTAGGTGACCAATGAGAGATGGAAAAGCTGTGTGACAATCTGTGTGCCTGCATGCATGTGTGCAGTGTTCCCAGGTAAGTTTAAAATTTCTCAATTGGCTGTTTATAAAGTTAACATATTTATATCAAATATAATGTGCTTTATCAAGTATTTACATTTTTAAAATTGACTCATCTGCAAGAATCTAGTCTTTAAGTAGCAAATTGCTCTCCTGAAAAATGATGCAGAATGTCCCTTGAGTTTTGACATGAATGAATTACCTACCTTTCTCTCCTTTGTAGCCTCTAGGGCCTTGGGGCCCAACAACTCCTGGTGGCCCTGGGATCCCCAAATTTCCAGCCTCTCCTTTAGGACCTAGAAATGGGATTTTAAATACATCAGAATATAAAATTTCTCTTTTAAAGTTCATTAGTTCAGGAAAGAAAAAAAGCATTTTACTGCAATCAATAAGTATCAATGACCTAATGGTAAAATCTGAGTAAGAATAAACCACACAGAGTCCTAAGGGCAATATTTTTGTCTGATTTGCAATTTCGTACTACCTGAATAGATAAATTGAGACCATTAGTACTTGTCACTGTATTCATGGCAGTGATCAAATGATTCAGGGAAGCAGCACTATATCAAACAAGAACAAAATGATAATCTGACACTTAACCTCATATGGACCACACTTTCACATTGGAAGTAAAAACAACACCTAGCACCTTTGGATTTCCCTTTTATTCACTTACTCATTCATTCATTAACTATTTCTGAGGCATCCTATACACCAAGCACCCTGCAAGGTGTTAGGAATGCAGCCATCAACATTCCAGCAGTCCCTACTCTCATGAAGCTGAGAGTCTATGAAAGATAAACATTTAACAAATAGCCACACAAATACGTAGAAATTGTCACATTGTAGTAAATGATATAAAGAAAAATACGAAGGTCTTATTGAGGACTTAACTGATGAGATCAGAGGCTTCCTTGAGAAAATGGTATTAAGCTAAGACCCAAAGAATAGATTAAGATTTCCCAAAGCAGAGTAGCTTCCCTAAGTAGGACCAAGATAGTCTCAGCATTCTAAGCTCTCAAGCACTATGCTCTGTGGCAGAACCAGTCAGACTAAGACATATGAGCTCCCCAGGCAGGGTAATAACTTGGCACACCTTGGAATTATTTGTCATATATATTTAGAGGAGAGAATGAACCCTGAGAACAGCACAGCTAAATCCACCACTGGGTAAAACAAAAGCCCTGATGTTACAGAACTCACAGCCTTAGCAAATAGTTTAGCAACCAGCTGTGTCTACTTGACCATGCCCTTGGGATTTTCACCGCCAAGCAGCTTACCAGCCAGATAGGATACTAAGACTTCTGGTAAATATAATTTTCTCAGTCTCATTAAATTTTCAGTAATGTTTTAGCAATCCTGACATCTTGGTACCCAAGCTACGGCCCATCTCCTTTACTCCTTAATGCAGCTCTGCATAAATACTAACCGCATTTCCCAAAAGGTCCCTACAAAGGGATGAAATGAATGAAAAGCTTGGTGAAGATGTATAATTGCTTAGTTTATAACATTAAATTCCTCAGGCAATGGTGAATTTTAAGTTGACATTCTGATCTTAACTTTACCTTGAATTCTCTTCTAGATGACATGTAAAAGCTGAAATGTATTAGAATAAAGCCAAGACTATATTCATTATGTATATATTATAGACATCTGAAATCTTGAAATACATAACCATGGTGTTCAATGGAGAAAATCATTGGGCAATGACACAGTATTGCCTCAGAAATTCAATGAGAAGCAAATGGAATCCTAAGCTTTATTCTCCACCTCAGAGCCATTCCATTTCTAATCCTAACTACAAATAGCACTCAGAAAATCCATCAGTCAGCACACATTCTTGCAAGGCAACAGAAGTTTCATTTACCCTTTTTAAATCAGCCACTAATTTAAAAAATTGTACTGGTAATAAACCTGTGCATCTTGAAGAACCAGAGCACCATGCTGGAGTTGGTAATTCCTGACTTTGCTCTCACCAGCACTGTCCAGTAGAATTGTCTACAATGATGGAAATGCTATCTGTGCTGCCCAATACAGTGGCTGTTGAGCACTTGAACTGTGGCTAATGTGACTGATGAACTGAATTTTTTACCTTATTCAATTTTAATTTTAATATTTATTAATTACCACATTGGGCAACACAGCACCCATTTACATTTGTAACAATGTGACACCTAGACCTGTTACTATTTGCATAACAACGTAGAAACTCCTGGGGCAATTTCACCCGACAACCTACCTCTCAACTCTACCAATGTACAAGTGAGAAACATGACTTCTTATATTTTCTAATACCTGGCTGTCCAGTCTCTCCAGGTTCTCCTTTCTGCCCGGGTACAGGTGAACAACAATCACAACAATTCAAAAAGAAATCAGCTGGGTCAAGAGTGAAGTTTTCAAAGGGAGAGAGAGTGGCAGTGCCAAAGACAGAATCCAAGGCCGAGGGTTTGGTAATTGGTTCTGCCATTTCAGCCATTTCTGTGAAGAGGGTTTCTTCTTCTTCTGGAGGTGGGCCACTGGATGGCTTTAGACCCTTTGGCATCTCTCTTTCCTCAGATTTCTTCGTAAATTTGGTATGTGGTGTGGTCTTTGCTATTGTGTTCATACCAGCAATAGCCAAAATAATTAAAATAGCACAAAGCCAAGAAAACATCCACATATTTGAAGCTGGAAGAAAGATATAATAGGAAAATATATACATATTATGTGAGGTCCAAATGAAAAGACTAAGTCATATAAACATATACTCATATAAAAGAAATATATATGTATATGAATCATAAGAATGAATGATATGCATAATATAGAATGATATATTTTCAATATATTTTACATGTAAATGTGTACTTGAATCACTACAGAATATTTTATGTACTTATTTATTATAAAGAACACTTTACTTCCATTCATCTTTCTGGTTATTTTCTTAGTATTATATATTGTTCCCAACTATTCAAACTATCTGGCCAAATAGCAAACATGATCTACAATAAATACAACATGACTCAATAGCTCATATACCCTGTGGAAGATAAATGTGTATAATTTCCTCACTGATTTCACTCAGATTTATAGAAATCAAATACATTTGTATTAGAGGGAGATGAAAAATATTGAACTGAGTAGTTTATTCCAGCAAACTCAATTATTTCAAGAAAAAATATGGTGAAATAGTCCTTAAATCTACTAAGGATAATGGTCCTGTTGTGAGAGCAATTTTTTAAAATCTATTTTAATAAGTGAAGAGAGAGACAATTAAAAATAATAAATTTGAATATATGCTACATTCTTAGATTCTTCACATGGCATTTAACTCTCCACCTCTTTGCTTTGTAATTTGGGGAGTTTTTCTAGAAATTCATGTTTATTCTTGTATTATTTTAATGGGGCAAAATGTGGTTATTCTAAAAAGAGCTTTGGCAATGTCCAAAGTGATATGATGTAAGGTTTCTAATGAGGTGAAATTTTGATAGTTCAGAGTATTCCATTCCAAATCAACTCCCAGTAGTCTAAGGGGTGCTAACAGATAGCCAGGGTTATAAATCCACATTTCCTGATAGGAGAAGGCAGCCATAATTAAGATAAATAGTAAGAGAGTAAATAGAATGGAAATAAAGAGATTAAAAAGGTCTACTGTTTATACAGTCCCTACTCTGAGTAGATGCCGTACATTAATCAATCCAATCAGGTCTCACAACAGCTCTCCATTCCCCCTTGAGAACTGGAACATGACGATGATGCTCTCTCTCACCACTCCTATTCAACATAGTACTGAAAGTGCTAGCCAGAGCAATCAGACAAGAGAAAGAAATAAATGGCATTCAAATAGGAAAAGAAGAAGTCAAACTCTCTCTCTTTGCAGAAAATATTATTCTATACCTAGAAAACCCTAAAGACTGCCAAAATTCTCCTGGGACTGATAAATAATTTCAGCAAAGTTTCAGGAAAGAAGGTCAATGTACAAAAACGAGTAGAATTTCTGTACACCAATAACATTCAAGCTGGGAGTCAAATCAAGATTGTAATTCCATTTACAATGGCCACGAAAAAAAATACCTAAGAGTACATCTAAGGAAGGAAGTAAGAGATCTGGAGAACTACAAGAAGAACTACAAAACACTGCTGAAAGAAGTCAGACATGACACAAATAAATGAAAAAACATTCCATGCTCATGGATTAGAAGAATCAATATTGTTAAAGTGGTCATACTGCCCAAAGCAATTGATAGATGCAACACTATTCCTTTCAATCTATCAATGTCACTTTTCATATGACTAGAAAAAACTACTCTAAAATTCATGTGGGTCCAGAAAAAGAGCCCTAATAGCCAAAGCAATCCTAAGCAAAAAGAACAAAGCCAAAGGCATCACATTACCTGATTTCAAACTATACTGTAAGGCTACGATAACCAAAACAGCAAGGTACTGGTACAAAAACAGACACATAGACCAGTGGAACAGGATAGAGTATCTAGAAATAAAGCCACACAACTATGACCATCTGATCTTTGATAAAGTCAACAAAAATAAGCGATGCAGAAAGGACTCCCTATTCAGTAAATTGTCCTGTGATAGCTGGCTAGCCATATGAAGAAGAATGAAACTGGACCCCTACCTTTCACTCTATGCAAAAATTAACTCAAGATGGATTACAGATTTAAATGTAAGACCTCAAACTATAAGAATCCAAGAAAAAAAAAGCCTAGAAAATACCATTCTGGACATCAGCCTTGGCCAAAAAAATTATGACTAAGCCCTCAAAAGCAATTGCAACAAAAAGAAAAATTGACAAGTGGGACCTAATTAAACCAAGGAGCTTCAGCACAGCAAAAGAAACAATCAACAGAGTAAAGAGACAACCTACCAAATGGAAGAAAATATTCTCAAATTGTCATCTGAAAATATCTAATAGTCAATCTATAAGGAACTTAAACAGTTCAACAAGCAAAAAAACAAATTATCACATTAAAAAATGGGCACATGACATTAGCTGACACTTCTCAAAAGAAGACATGAAAGCTGCCAACAAACATGAAAAAATGCTCAGCATCACTAATCAAAAGAAAAATGCAAATCAAAACCACAATGAGATACCATCTCACACTAATCAAAATGACTACTATTAAAAAGTCAAAAACTAACAGATTTCAGTGAAGATGAGAAGAAAAGGGAATGCCTGTACACGGTTGATGGGAGTGTAAATTAATTCAACTACTATGGAAAGCAGTTTGAAGATTCCTCAAGGAACTTAAAACAGAATTACTATTTGACCCAGCAATCCTATTACTGGATTTTCCAAAAGAAAACAAATTTTTCTCCCAAAAAGACACATGCACTAGCATGTTCATTGCACCATTTTTTGCAATAACAAAGACATGAAATCAATCTAGGTACCCATCAACAGTGGACTGGATGAAGAAAATGTGGTACATATACACCATGGAATACTATGCAGTCATAAAAAAGAAGGGGATCATGTCCTTTGAAGCAACATAGATGCAGCTAGAGGCCATTATCATAACCAAGTTAATGCAAGAACAGACAACCAAATACCACATGTTCTCATAAGTGGAAGCTAAACATTGGGTAGTCATGGACATAAAGATGACAACAATAAAAACTGAAGACTACTAGAGGGCATAGGGAGGGATGGAGGCAAGTTTTGAACAACTAACTGTAGGGTACTATGCTCAGTACCTGAGGATGGGATCATTTGTACCTCAAACCTCAGCATCATACAACATACCCAGGTAACAAACCTGCACACATACCCCCTGAACCTGAAATAAAAGTTGGAAAAGATTCTTAACTTAAGGGGAAACAAAGCCAGCTCCAGCAGGTAGGTGACACTATTATTCACCTTCACAGATGAGGTAAAAAGCACCAAGAGGTTACGTACCTTCCCCAGGGTCACATAACCTGTAAGTTATAGATCAAGTTCTCTTTAATTTCAGAGTCTAAACCCTTTTCCACAAATCATGTGGCATTTATAAAGATGAGATTAAAGAACAATAAATCCAAAGGTAATGAGATTAAAGAACAATAAATCCAAAGGTAGCTCCATGGAACAGAGCTATGGATGAAACAAATATAAATCAGTGCAGATAAAAAAAGGAGAAAGATAGGATGCTTTGTTTCCAAAATCATATAAAGATAAAAAATGCTAACTTTCCTTTGAGTTGTCTTTGCTACCATGTTCATCCATTCAACCAATATTTAACAAGCCCGAAAATATTATATACGGTAACAACAAACATGAGGCATGGTCATTGTCCTCAGAGAATTTATAGTCTAGTAATGAGAGATGAAACACAACAGAGGAAATGGAAGAAAATGTGAAAAGCAGCTGATCACATTGCATCTTCCCAAATATAGGCCCTTCTGTCCCCAAATGCAGATTCCCACACACACATATATACTCTTCATTCCACAAGAATGAGGACATCAAACACAGATACAATGCATCAGCCAGCTAAATCCAGTCCCAGCAAAAACTAGAACACAGAAATATTCTGTCTGGATATAAAATAATTAAACTTTCATTGCTTCACACAATTGCATTCAATAAAATATTCGTTTGTTCAACAAACATTTATTTGAGCATCTAAGAAGTCTATGTGGGGTCCCAGAATACAAGGAAAAGTAAAACCTGGCCCCATCCCTAAGGATCCTTTTTGCCGTAAACATTCAAAAATAACCAGGCCCACGTATTTGGGCAAAAGAAAAATCAGAGATTTGGCAGAAGGCTTGAAGGGAAATATTGGTGGCTTTTAATTCTCTCACCATTTTAAGAAGAATTAGGGTTTGCAGAATGCTCAGTGTTAATACTCTAAGATATTTCTTACATTCTTTAGACAAGTGAGGTCATGTGAGAAAATAGCCTTTCTTTTTCCCTACTAAACGTATCTGTGTTAGTCTTCCATACATACAAAGTATTTTTGACCCTGCAAAGACGTTATGACAGCATCTTGGTAAGCCAGTCCTGAGGGTGCAAGCAAGAGATAGCCAGTGGGACAGGGAGGAAAAGGGAGAGCATGGGAGACATTGTCCTAGTTATTTATAATTGTTATTCAATTATACCACACAGGAACCATGCAAGATAAGATTTACTATGCCCATATAATGGATTCTAAAACTGAGGCACAGAGAGATTAAGTAGCCTGCACAAAATCACATTATTAGCAAGTAGTGGGGCTGGGATTAAAATCTAGGTTTTGACCCCAAAGTCATCCCATGCACTTCCCACTGTGCCATGCTTCCTGGGGATTAATGAGTGATCAGAGATGTTGCAAAAGTGAACTGAGTTGGCCCCTTCATGAAGCTCAACTCTGGGTCTTTCAGTAGAAGAAAGTGACTTTCTGCAGACAGGAAATGGGAACTTAATGAGAGCAATGAGAAAGGAGAGAGATGAGAAGTCTGCAGTAAGAACCTATTGGTGTGAGGCAAACAAAGTTACAGACAGCATATCTGACAAGAGGTCAAAGAGTTACAGAAAGTAATGAACAGAGCTAATCAGTATGAGGAAGGTGTTCAGCCTCCCTATTGAAGGGCATGGATTGTCCTCATATATGTTTCCTTTGCATTGTGGTTTCCTGCTTCCCGATTTAAACACAGATGTTAAAGGATAATGTTGGCAGCACTTTGATTGTGATAAGGCTCCCCAAGAATTTGGAGATGAGGAAAACATGAAGTTCTTCGAAAGACAGTGGAACAGGAGTTGGTAGTAACTTGACTGATGATGCAAATACGTCACTTCTTGTAACCAGAATTTTTCATGATTGTGTAAAAACATAAAATTCCAGCCAAACAAAATTTCCACAATGAGTGAAGCAAGTAAGGGCCCCTGACCAAATTTTAAGTCGCTAAAACAATAAAACATAACTTAAATGCTAAGCCTAAAGTAGGTGTAGATCTTAACAGAAGGGCTAGAAGTAAAAATCAAAATAGGAGTTTGGGATCCTTAATTAGAGAACCTAAGTACAGGAAACCCTTTTACTTATCCTGAAGATTGCCTAGACTGCAAACATTTCCAGTGCAAAAAGTTAAGTCTCTTGTTTCTGTGTTTCCAAAGAGTAGTATAATGTTTGGCAAATAATAGGTGTTCCATAGATGTTTTGCTAAACTGAAATGAACTAAACGTAGTAGATTGCATTATTGTCCCCAATTTTTTATCCCTCCTTGTACTCACACCCTTTGCTAAATGGATTTTGCACTGCCACACACAAAAGAAATGGGTTCTGTACTCCAATCCCTTGACTCTGAGTTCAGCCATGTGACTTCAGACCATAGAATGAGGTAGAAGTGACAGGGTATTAGGTCTCAAGGGCTCTTGGGTGTTTCCACTTGCTCTCCTGCAGTTTTGCCATTGCCATCAAAAGGATATGAATGACTCAGCTTGCTGGTCACTGGAGGAGGAAGAGAAACACATAGAGTGGAGCTGTCCCAGATAAGCTGTCCTAGCCAAATATGACCTAGATCACAGTCCCCAACTGACCTGAAGACACATGAGTGACCCCAGGTAAGACCAGCTGAGGCCAATCAATATTAAACAACCCTCACCAATCCCACAGATATGTTCCAGTTATCTACTGTTGTGTTGCAAACTACTTCAAACTCGGTGGTCCAAAAACAACCATTTTATTCTAGCCAACAATTTTGTGGGTCAGAAATTCAGGTCTGGATCAACTAGGTGATTCCTCTGCTCCATGGGGAATGAACTAAGGTCACTCAGAGTGTTCAGCTAGTGGATGAACTGGTGTAGAGAGGCTTAATTACAAGTCTGATACCTTGATAGCAATGGAAAATACTTGGGCTCCGTTAGGACTTTCAATCACATAATCTCTCTGGCATGCCAGTCTCAAGATTTTTAAACTTCCACCTGACTCAGGGCTCCTAAAGACATTTTTCCAGGAACATGGAAACTGCTAATATATTAAGGTGGCATAGTGACACTTCCACTAAATTTTTAGCCAAAGCAGTCTCAGAAGCCAGCCATACTCAAATGAAAGGGGCATGGACCTCATTTCTTAATGTGAGGCATGTCAATTTCTGATCATCTTGAATCTACCATAGATACACAAGCTATACTTTGTAAGCAATGGAGTTTTAGCAAGATTTGGCCACAAAAGCTAACTGACACCACGGTTCCAGCCTCTAGCCTAACATTATTTTTACCATTGAAGCAAAACTGACTAAGCAGCCTCCAGACAATGTCATCTTACCTTTCCCTGACAGAAGACAACCTTTGAGCTCCTCTCCCTCATCAATTAGCCCCCATAACGCTGGAAATCTCTCCCACTGAAAGTGTTCAAGCAGAATTTGGGCCACCCCTTGTTGAGATGCTTGCTATTAGAAAGGTTCTTGAAGATGCTATGATCTTGAATGTACCTTCCCTGAGATTCTGTGATGAGGTTTTATAACAGCGGGCACTCTATTAATACATAAAATTTAGCTCATTCTATAAAATTTTATTCTAAATATAGGAGGCATTATGTTTCTTCTAATAGTGTACTCTTTACTCCCATTAAAAAGAAAGTGCCCAAGATTGGGAGAACATTCTTTGAAGATTTATTAGTTTTTTTCCCGGTAGAAATAAGATGTTCACACTGACCTAATAGTGCACATTTGGAAGATGATCAACAAGTTTTATGTTGAGGCTAAAGCCATGGATTATAAATAAATTTTAGTAAGTGACTATCAAATAGTGTAGTATAAGGATTAAAAGCCATTAGCTTTGTAGAGAATAAGTCCTGAGTTTAAGTTTCAAATCTTCCCCTTTTTAATTGTTTGATTTGGAGCAAGACACTGTGCCTCTCTAAGTCTTGGTTCCTCATTTCTAAAATGGAGATAATAATAGTAGTTTCATCTTGTATGGTTGTGAAACTAAGTGAGGTAATACATGAAAAGCTCTCAGCATAGTGCCCTCAGTAACTGTTGCCTATTTTTTAATGAGAATTAGATCTAATGAAATTAGCCAGAAATATTTTGAAGCAGTGACAAGTTTTTCCTGTTCTCAGTTTAGTATCTTCCAATGAGAGCATTTGATGGAATTGGAGATACAGAAAGAAAATAGAAGCTCTCTGTAGTCCCAGCTACTACTTGGGAGGCTGAGGCAGGAGAATCGCTTGAACCCCGGAAGTGGAGGTTGCAGTGAGCCATGATCGCGCCACTGCACTCCAGCCTGGGTGACAGAGCGATACTCTGTCTCAAAAAAAAAAAAGAAAAAAAGAAAAAAGGAAGAAGAAGAAGGAGAAGGAGAAGGAGAAGGGGAGGAAGACGATAGCAACAGTAGCAATTTTCTGATTCTCTGAAGGCTAGAGGCAAACCTGACAGCTAGTGACAGCCATCCCTGCCTTTTGCTTCTTCCCCCTTCAATGATTAAATAAGCACCTAGTTACCCGAATTAAATCCCTTTCTGCCTAACATGCCTGTAGTGCCTTGAGAGCAAATTTTGTTATCATATCTTCTCCTCCATTTAATTTTATCTCTATTTCTTTTATTATAAAATCCCAGCCTGCCTCCCTTGTTTTGTTCTATAGTCAATGCTACATTCTCTTTCTTTATACCACGATCACTCCTCATCCATCCACAACATCTTTGTCTATTAGAAGATAGCTATATCAAATTATGTCCAAAAAAGTTTTTCAAAAAATTATTCCCATTTTAGTCCATTTTGTGTTGTTGTAATAGAATCTTACAAACTGGATAATTTATAAAGAAAAGAAATCTATTTCTAACAGTTTTGGAGGCTGGGAAGTCCAACATCAGGGAATCAGAATCTGGTCCAGGCCTTCTTCCCATGAAGAAAGACAGAAAGGCAAGACAGTTCAAGAGAGGGCTGAATTCACTTTTATAAGAACCAACGCCAAACATAGTGACATTAGTGTTGAGAGGTGATTAGGTAATCACCTAATTAGGTCATATTTGGCTAGGACAGCTTATCTGGGACAGCTCCACTCTATGTGTTTCTCTTCCTCCTCCAGTGACCAGCAAGCTGAGTCATTCATATCCTTTTGATGGCAATGGCAAAACTGCAGGAGAGCAAGTGGAAACACCCAAGAGCCCTTGAGACCTAATACCCTGTCACTTCTACCTCATTCTATGGTCTGAAGTCACATGGCTGAACTCAGAGTCAAGAGATTGGAGCATAGAACCCATTTCTTTTGTGTGTGGCAGTGCAAAATCCATTTAGCAAAGGGTGTGAGTACAAGGAGGGATAAAAAATTGGGAACAATAATGCAATTCTGCTACGTTTAGTTCATTTCAGTTCAGCAGAACATCTATGGAACACCAATTATTTGCCAAACATTATACTAGTCTTTGGGAACACAGAAACGAGAGACTTAACTTTTTGCACTGGATTAGGTAATCACCTCTCAACACTGTTGCATTGAGAATTAGGTTTTTATCACATGAACCTTGGGGGATATATTCAAACCATAGCACTCCCACAATGTTCTGAGCCTTCAAATATATTTCCCATACGAATATTGTATTCCAGTTGTACTCTTGAATGCTAATTCTAATATAAATACTGTTGAAATAGTTTTAGGCACATGGATATGTGTGCATATATTGTTTGGGCTGCAAAACTGGTGACCTTTTCTTCTTAACCTTATATAAAGCATTCTTCTCCTCTGACCCTGTACAGTTCTATAGAATTATAAAATGAACCATTATGTCTATAGCATTCGTTTGCTATTTGAATAGCTACTTTTAATGTCTCACATCATTTTATTTAGAGCAATATTTCATGCTGTGTTTCTTCTCATACTCATGCTTCTCTTTCTTCTTTTCACTCTTCCTTATATTCAGTCAACAAATGTTTATTAAAACCTACTCTGTGTCAGGCACCAAATTATATTCAGGAGTTATAGAATAAAATATATGCTCTCATAAAGCTTACATTCCAATGAGAGTAATAAATAACATGTGGTAAAGAAATAAACATTTCAGACTGTAATTAGGTGCTATAGAGAAAATAAATAGAAGTATTTGATAAAGAGTGACAAGGAAAGTTTATTTCAGACAAGAGAATATTACACAAGAATATCAGGAGAAGGAAAATGGGTAGAGGCAGTTGCTGCCACTACTTACATCGCCTTCCTCAGAGCTACATCCATCAAACAATCCTATTTTCCTTTTTAAGGTGCCTAGCATTGCACCTTCAACGCTATGCAGCCGTGAAGATAAATTAGGGGAGAATTTCTGATAAGTTATTTCCTCTTGCCCCACTTCTTCTAGTAAACTCAGACAGGGAGTCATTTAGAGCTCAAATCTTGAGTTCATTCACAAATTGCCACATCAAAAGGAAGAAAGAGAAACTTTGTAACTACAGATTTCTATTTCCCACTTTACTTTTTAAGAGCAATTCCAGAGTGATTGTAATCAGCTCTGATAGACGTGCCCATCTCTTTGTGTTGATAGATGCAGCAAAAGCATCATTATTTCTATTGTCTAGTGAAAGGCTATTTCTTCCAGAGTGTCTAAATAAGTGAATCCATTACAATTTTATTAAGGACATTGAATATAACATTACATTCTACCAAGTTAAATGCTTCTTGTATTTAAGAAGTATGAAGAAAATTAAAACATTCTCAGCATTTTTCTCTCAGATGGAAAGGGATTGGCTTTCGTTCAGAATATACCATAAAAACAGTCCAGCTGCAAATGTGGAGGCTTTTTGCCTCTATGGATGCCATCACTTTTTCAATTCCTCCTCTTCTCCTCTCATCCTGCCTTAAATCAAAGCTGTAGAACAGGAAGCAGAATGTTACAAGTGACAGTCAGGACCCACGGCATAGGAGAAGGAACTGCACTTATCAGAGCAATCAAGCTAGGGCAGGACCAAGGAATAACTCGGCAATTAGTTGGTAGAAAAGTTAAGTCACCTGCATGGGTGAGTAGACAGGTAAAAATGTAGCCTAAATTTGGTCACAACAATAAGCCCTAGCTCCATGTCTCCACAACCTTTAAAGAAACTTTTAAGGATCAGATTAGGCAAAGGCAAGAAGAAAATTATTACTCCTTAGTTTCACCATTTTTATTTCCCTCACAGTGATTCTGAGTATATCCGCTATAGTAGTTTTCTTATTTTAGGAAAAAAGAGAACTAAAGGAGGTGAGGGAAAGGGACAGTGTGCATCTGTGGGTGTGTGGCTGGATAACGAGCCTGAATTAAATTTTGCAGGCTGATATATTCCACTGATTAAAAAAGCAATGGGGAGTTGGGTGTGAAGAGTGAGGGAGGGTGGTATATGGGAACTCTCTGTTCTTTCTGCTTAATTTTTTAGTAAACCTAAAACTGCTTTAAAAAATAAAGTTCGTTAATGGTTTAAAAGATAAAGCAATGGGGTCCAGACATGTTAATGGATTTGTTCACTTACCAGTTAATAAACTGGTCCTGGCAGCAGTTAATAATCTATCAAAGTTGTTATTGCACTCCTGAATTTAAAACTTATATATGTCCATAATACATTTTTGTTAAATTTTGGCATGTTAACAAAAACCCATGATGGAGTCAAACCAGTTCCATGTTAGAAACTCTCCATGAAGTAAAATTTCACTGAGACTTTTCTGCTTCTTTGATATGAAGAATTTATATATCCATTAAAATAAGTAAGCAAAGCTCTTCACCTTTTTGGAGACCAAGCCGAATGCCTGTTGTAGGGTATTTCTCAGGAGGGAATTATTGTGTAAAATAAATGGGAGCTAGCTCATTCCTGCTCCATCCAGTCTATCCAAAATTAACCAGAGCTGTCCTAAAGGGGAGGTTCTGAGGAAGCATCAGGATACAGAATCTAACAGATGAGTGGGCTTTAAAGAAAAGGAATTTGTCTTTGAAGCGAAAGATGTTTTTCAGATAAGGTGATAGATACGGAATTTTCATTACTAACAGCTTACTTTCGGTTGATAACCTGGCTTCTCAGTGTTGAAAGCCTGTGTTGATTCTTTTATCAGCTTACTTGAATGCTCGCATGTAAGGCACTCGAATATGAAATATAACTACTAAAGATATGGCATTAAATAAATGCTTTATTATTAAACTATTTTCAATTACCCAACTCCCATATGTCTTTCATTTCTACAATGTTTAAGATCTTTTTATTTTCAATCCAGAGAGTTCTAAACCTATTCCAGGGCTCAGATATTCTTATAAACAAACATCAGAAGAATCAGAAGTTTGAAGATGTCAACAGACATTACATATCCCAAAAGATATCCATTTTTATGTTGTCCATTGGAATATGAACTAGTTTCAGAGCCATTTAGAATCATGGATCAAGGGAAGAGCAGGCCCCGTTACATTTTAATCAGAAGTTTCCAAGAAAAGTCAATTTAGGGACAATCTAAATAATAGGTACCAGAGTTGGTTCTTACTCTGTCTCTAGTTCTCAAAAAGTCCTCGAGAACCCCCTAATTACCCTTCACTATTCACAAAGCCATCGTCACTGACCTGTGGTAGAAAACATGAGAGGATTATCGGCTACATGGCAGTTTTTTGGGGTGTGTTGGCATGGTGACCCTAGCACTCTCCTGCTTTGCTCAAACTCCACAATTTGGCATCAGACTTCAAGACATAATCTTGGATCTGGGCTCATAAAAGGGAGCCCTGATCCTGGGTCACTAACAGCTGCCTGAGGCTAGGGTAAGTCCCTTTATCAGGAGAAAAGTAGTGTCCTTCCATTAAAAACAATGAATTCAGACTAGAAGAGCCAGCTCTAAACCCTTTTCTACTTCTAATGTATTAAGATTCTTTTCCTAACAAATCCTGTCTAATCATAGTCAGTGCTGAAGATTTAAATATCATTACATTCTCATTTTGTCACTTGGTCCAGAGCCCATTCCATGGCTTCAGAGTCAGCTCATGGAAAACTCTGCCTGTGGCGGTGGCTCTGGAAGACCCTTTAGAAGTCAAGGGCTCCCCTAGAAAGTTGAGAATAAGATAGCTCTGATAAGCATCAGGTTTGGGATCAGCCCAGAGAAGAACAGAAGGGAGTCTGTCCCTGACAAAGCTACCAAGAGGTTAATGCATCACATGAAAACACAGCAGTAACTTCCTCTCTCAGGACAGCCTTGCTATTTAATACCCCAAAAGACCAAGGACAAAGAATGACATTGTATAAGCACTGTAACTCAAGCAATTAGCCAGGTAATGGTGTGTGGGGTTCATCATAGCAGAATGTCAATTAAAACACTTGGAAGGAGGTTATGCAAAGCACTGAGATTTCAAATCTTATAAGCTACCAGTAGGACTAAATTATAGTAAATGTCATATTACTACAGCAGGTATCACATAAATGAAAATAAAGTTTCTTTTCTAATATGGACTCTTGCTTAATATCTCATAAATCCCAGAAATTGAAAAAAGCAGCCAACTGTCTAGTCTTTACTCAAGAATAAAGGAAATGGGACAAAGGATGTCATGTTTTAATTAAATATCTTCTTTGATACCTTGTATATCTCTAGTTAATTGTTTTAAAGATTCAAAATTATACCTTAGTTTTATTTTGGGTTTTTGCCAATGAATTTAAGGGGAAAGAAGAGAATAGGAATTGATAAAATGTGAATTTCAGGAGAAGCATTGTTTCTTAGAAGGATCTTTAGATGAAATTCTCCTGTTTAATGACTTGTCTGACTTCATTATCATAGAAGCATAGCATTTTCTTCTTTTTTCTTTTAGTGCAGATATATTACTAGAAAAACTGGCTTTTCAAAATGAAAAATAAATGACAGAGTTCTTTATGAAATTTCAAAATGCAAATAGCTTTTAGCATCTAAATAGATAGCAACACAGATTTTCCCTGAATACTGATAGACAGAACATAATATATAAACATCAGTTTCTTTCCTAAAAACCCACAAGTCACGTTTAAGCCAGCAGTTAATTTTTATTCATGAATTATAAATCCTTTACAGGAGGGAGTGAAGATAAAATGAAAATAAAATATATGTAAAAATGTAATGTTCCACTAATTCTATCACAGAAAACTAAATGCATATTAAATTTTTATTATTATTCATAATTGTTCCATAAATAGCACAGGCATAATACATTTTTAAAAGCAAAATACCTTTTTCTCTTATCAGATCATTGTTATGAGAGGAACCATATTTTTATGCACCTGTATTGTCTTAACTGAAGATATACCACACTGTTATAATCTGAACAAAATCTGATTTTTAAGAAGTTTGTTGCACATCATCTTGACAGATATTAATTACTGCATAATACCAAAAATGTGTAGTTCTACCTCAGTAATGCCAATATGTTATATTCTCTCTTTAGAATTTATTTTACTTATCTCACAGATATTCACAAATTTAGTAACTTTAAAATGAAGAATGATTCTATGCTCCATGCCACAAACTTCCATACTCCAAAAATCAAACAAAAACAGATTTAATACCAGAAAGGAAAAACTACCTTTTATCAATTGCATAGTTTTATCATTTCTATTCATATTCTTATTTCCTAGAGGCAAATTATGTCAACAGGACCTTTTTCAGCCTGGGATCTTATTGCAAAAGCTGGGTTGGAAGATAAAATAAATCAGTGTTTGTAATCATCTCCTACCTTATGGATCTTTCCTTGTCAGCAATTCCTCTCCCAGGTGGCACATTGGAAAATTCAATCTCATTTACCATTACACAGTAGTCTGTTTTATTTCTTTCAAGGTTTGCCCCTACCCAATAAGAAGTGAGTGCCTTGTGATAAGGGGAGTGGTAACCTTTTCAAACTCTAAAGAAAAGCTCTGAAATCTGATGAAATGCAAATGTCTTGGGAATATTGAAGGCTTAGCTCTTCAATGGCCTGACTTTGTCCACCATTGCCATTGGTTTATAGGACTATCTTTCATTTTAATACATTAAGGTCATGGCACCATAGCAACAAACAACTCTCCTGTTTAGTAAATACTATAGTTTTCTGAAGTGTGTCCACTGTAATCTGTGATCTGGACAGCATGTAGGCATTCAGAAGCATCTGCTTCCATTGTTGAGTAAGCCCTCACTGCAGCAGAATAGACACTTAGGTGGCATTTCTGAACCACACACTCCTCTCCTCCACTCACAGCCTCCCTTTTACTGAATTAGCTGCCACCCATTGAAAATTGACAAAGATATATAGATTCTTGGCCAGATTTACTTCTAAAAAGATATCTTTGTCTTCACTGGGGGCTACAATGTAAAAACTTGTAAATTACAAAAGTGCTATGGGCTTCTTGACTGATTCATTCAACAGCTTTCATGAGAACCTGCGAAGTGCCGCATTCTGTTCTAGGTACTGAGCAAAGAGCAGAGGAGAAAGATTGACAAGGATCTGCTTTCATGAAGGTCATATCCTGGTGGGAAATACAACCAAAAATTAAAACACACACATATAAGCAGTAAATATCAGATATTAAAAGCTAATAAGTATCACGTACAAACTAAAATAAAGTAATAGAGAATGAATGAGTGGCTTTTTTAGATTGGGTGCTGGGGAAGGCTGTTCTAACAAGCTGACCTTTAAGCTGCTACAATCTGAATTACAAAGGAATCATCTAGGTAGAGGAAATCAGAGGGATAAAAGCACCCCAATTTTGGAGACCCAGAGATGGCAACGGGCATTGAACTGTAAGAGTAACACAAAGAGGATCAGAGCAGAGATACAAAGATAACCAAATTAAATCCTGGAGCAGAAAAATGGTGATATGATTTAATATATTAACATATATAATATACAACTATCAAAACATAGAGAAAGGAGGGTGTATGGCATAAACAGAATTACCATCCAGTCAGACAGTCCCAAGGAACATAAGCCAATGACCTGACTTAAATATTTCACTCCCATTAGTAAGTTGATTTCCATGATGAGCTGGATGCAGCTAATTAATTTAGCCAGATGCCATTAAATATTTTGATTAATGTAAATCCTCTCCTTCAGATTCCACACTCACCAAGTGCTCTCTGATTCTTCCCTCTGAGAGAAGGTGTTGATCATAAGACTTTAAATAATTTGATATAGTGATTGGCCATCTAAGTTACAAAGTAGATTTCTATTTACCACTTGGCTTTCTCCTTAGCTGTTCACTTCGATAGAATGTTGTGGTCAGGCTGATGTAATGACAGCAGCCCATGCAGTTATACTTCTCACTGCAAATTGATGGGCATTCTGGAAGCTATCTATCTCCTCCTCATTTTAGTTCTCCTCTGGGGAACTGACCACTGTTAGACACTGACAAGTTCAAGTTTAATCAAGCCACTACCTAGCATATCCCTGTCCAGCCCCAGCTGGCCTTTTCTTAACAGTCACTGCCTCCTCCTGATGCTGAGGATATGGCTATGGGTACTGCAACCTCATCTAAAATGCCTAATTAGCTCAACTGAGCATGATGAAGAAAGCTACTGCACTGGCTACAAGCAGTTATAAGCAATCGAGCACACGAGGTGTATCTATGAGTTTACCAAACTGTCCGAGACCCTTGGCAGACAAATATCAGTTTCCTTATCTTAATAAAATGAAGGAGTTGAGCTAGGTCTTTATTCATAGATTTTTTTAATTACACAAGTAATATATAAATACATTTTTCCTGTAAACATATAGAACATTACAAAGAACACCTCAATTGCTATCTCCTGCTTCTGCTGTCTTAAGATGAACACAGTTATTGTGTATCAACCCTTTCAAACCCTTTTAAGCATTTATATCATATGTCCATATGTGTGTATATATACATACCCATTAAAATAGGTAGTATTGTTCACTCTGTGTTTAATAAATAGTTCCACATTGTACATCTTGTTCTGTAACTTGCTTTAGCGAAGCAATATGTCTTAGAGACTTTTCCACATCAGAAAATACACATCTCCCTTAGTCTCTTTTAATTGTTGCATAGCATTGCATTATAAGAATGTACTACACTTTTGTTAGCTGTCTATCAATTGAGGGCTAGTTAAACTGTTTCCAATTTTTAACCTCTAAAAATGTTGGAGTAACTATCCTTGTGTATTCCTTATTGTGCGTGCAAAAGAGAGTTAGTTTCTCTAGAATAGCTCCAGGAAGGGGGACTAACAAATAGAAACATCTGAATCTAGGCTCAAGCTATAGTTCATAGACCACCTGAATCAGAATCATAGAAGTGTTTATTAAGAATAAGGCAAGAAACAAATAAAAATAAAGAAAGTGGCAGCTTCTGTCTCACCTCAGACTAGAACCAGAATCCATGGATATGGGAGCCAGAAGCCATGATTTATACAAGCACCTTCAGTGGTTTTCACAGTTAAAGCTGGAGAACCACTGGACTAGGTGGCCCTAAGATGCCTACTGTCTCTAAAAATGTACTCAAATGCTTAGCTACCAACCACTTCCATGTGCAAGACACTGTATTAAGAGCTGTACGCATGTTTCCTGTTGAACTATAACTTTCATAGTCCAGAACCTGGGGTGGTTTGCAACTAAACCCAGATTCCAGTCCAGACATATATCTACTAAAATATATGAGGGCTCATGGACACAGTGCTTCCCTCCCAAGTAAGCTGTGCCCCAGAAGAGTCTTCTTTCACCCCCCAGTTACATCCCACCCCTGTGATCATCCTCCCAATGAGTTCTGTCCCCCTAATTAATGTTGCCTCCTGCAGGGGTGTGATCAGCAGCATGCTGCTCTGACTCTGGTTTTTCTCTTATTTTTTCCTCTGTTATTATCGAATCAGCCTGAAAAGCCTCTGTCTTTTAGAGATGGGGAAAGGAAGACAAGCTAAATGAGCAAAGGCACATGTCTATTGTGGAGCAGGAAAGTTACAGAGGATGCTGTAAATATGAACACATAAATAATTGTATTTGATTAATAATTTACTAGTCAATGAAACCTACTGAGGTAGACATTATTATTCCCAATTTATAGATGAGAAAACCAAGCACAGAGAAGTTTAAAAATTTGCCTATTGCTGGGCGTAGTGGCTCAAGCCTGTAATCCCAGCACTTTGGGAGGCCGAGGCGGGTGGGTCGCCCGAGGTCAGGAGTTCGAGACCAGCCTGGCTAACATGTTGAAACCCCATTTCTACTAAAAATACAGAAAATTAGCTGGGCATGGTGGTGCGTGCCTGTAATCCCAGCTACTCAGGAGGCTGAGGCAGGGGAATCTCTTGAACCCGGGAGGCAGAGGTTGCAGTAAGCCGAGATCTCGCCTTACTGTTGATGGGCAACAAGAGCAAAATTCTGTCTAAAAAAAAAAAAAAAAAAAAAAAAATGTGCCCAAGATAATTAGGAAACGAAGGATAGACCTAGCATAAAAACCCAGGTCTTTCTGATGCCAAAGTCTAGCTCAGAAGTCCCTTTTACACTATTTTACCTCTTTAAACCACACCTGTTTGTGATTTTTTTTCCTTCCTCCTTTCTGGGTATTTATTCACGTCTTTATTGCTAACGTAGAAGAAACAACCTTGAGCATGAAGTTTAAAGGAGTGTGGCCCATGGAAATCTTCATCAATTCATTCAAAAGTGTTCAGCAGGCAACACACATTATGTTGAGTCACATTAGGAATTCACGCCAGCCTATAATTCTCTACACTCCCTAGCATGTTGGCACTGGATGGATTTATGCACCACTAAACTTAGATAGCTTAAAACACTTCATTGCCTGAGCCCTCAGTAATGCTGATAAAATATATGTAGCTTCACTTATAAATCATCATCTTTACTTACATTTAATAAAATTGAAAATAATGTTTTCCAAGAAGTTGTTGGACAGTTTCAACTCACTATGGGTCGGCTGTGGTTGCTTTTTATACACCATGTCCCTACACTATTATCACTTTTTCTATGGTATTAGATTACATTGTTTAGATCATTTTTGTGCATTTCTTTTGAGATAAAGTTAAGATAATTTTTAATCATGTATACGCTATTTCAAATTAAGTTGAACTAATGGAAATGACAGAATGTTATGCTGTGGACTGAACGTTTGTGTCCTCCCAAAATTCTTACGTTAAAACCCTAATTCCCAAGGTAATGGTATTAGGCTAGTGCCTTTGAGGGGTAATTAGGTCCCTTATAAGGGCATTAGTGCCCTTATAAGAAAAGATACAAGACAGATGATCTCTCTGTCTCCACCATGTGAGGAAGAGGGTCCTTGCCCGGAACCAAATTGGCCATTACCTTGATCTTAGACTTCTCAGCCTTCGGAACTGTAAAAAATAAATTTCTGTTGTTTAAACAACCACTGTATGGTATTTTTATTACAGCAGCCTGTACTGTCTAAGACAGTTATTAGTCTTAGACATTCTATAAACTAAAGTATTTATGAAAGTATCAGATGCCTAAAATTTTTCAATGGTCTCCCAAAAATAAAAGAAAGACAGATGGGATAAAAATGACACAATGTTAACATTGGATGAATTTAAGTGAAGATCATATAGATATTCATTCTACTCTTCTTTCATGGTTTTATAGATTTCTGATTTTGAAGAATTAAAAGTTGAGGATGTATAAGTTAGATTCTGCTCTGATATTGCTACATAACAAACATGTCTAAAAATCTCGTGGTTTGTAACAAAAAGCATTCCTTTATTTTCCAAAAGTTTATAAGTTGGACAGGTAGTTCTACTTCAAGTTGTAAATCAGGTTTATTTCTGTGCTATATGTCTGTCATATTGGAACTAGAAGCTTCCAGTGCCTATTCAACTTGTAGCAGATGGCAGAATGCAAGAGGGTGAGAGAATATACAATGTCTCTTCAGATTAGAATTTGTATAGTCATTTTTTTCCATATTCCATTAGCCCAAGCAAGACACGTGGTCAATTCCAAGATCAATATTATACCCACAGTGAACCACAGCAAGTGTGGGAGAAAAAGAATGATTGACAAATAATACAATCTGTGTCAGGGAAAACATTTCTTAAATATCAAAAGGATGAAAGAGGACATATCCCAGAGTAAGACAAAGAGTATTGGCCGGGTGCGGTGGCTCACGCCTGCAATCCCCAGCACCTTGGGAGGCCAAGGTGGGCAGATCACGAGGTCAGGAGATCGAGACCATCCTGGCTAATAAGGTGAAACCCCGTCTCTACTAAAAATACAAAAAATTAGCTGGGCATGGTGGCGGGCACCTGTAGTCCCAGCTGCTCAGGAGGCTGAGGCAGGAGAATGGCGTGAACCCGGGAGGCGGAGCTTGCAGTGAGCCCAGATCGGGCCACTGCATTCCAGCCTGGGCGAGAGCAAGACTCCATCTCAAAAAACATATATAAAATAAATTTAAAAAGAGAGTATTTATACTAAATACAACACAAAGTTTTTTTGAAAAACGTTCAGTTTTTAAAAATCAAGGGAAGCCACACTGAAGAAATCATGTTACAAGGCACAATCTAATGGAGGCATAAAGGTGTGAAACACTCTTACTCACTTTGCTTGATGAAAGGGTGTGTGTAGTCAGGTAAGTGATTTAAACAAAGAGATGCTTCTGGCCAGGCGCGGTGGCTCACACCTGTAATCCCAACACTTTGGGAGGCCGAGGAGGGTGGATCACCTGAGGTCGGAAGTTCAAGACCAGCCTGAGCAACATGGAGAAACTCTGTCTCTACTAAAACTACAAAAATTAGCCGGGCATGATGGTGCATTCCTGTAATCCCAGCTACTCGAGAAGGCTGAGGCAGGAGAATCGCTTGAACCCAGGAGGCGGAGGTTGCGGTGAGTGGAGATCACACCATTGTACTCCACCCTGGGCAACAAGAGCGAAACTCCATCCCCAAAAAAATAAAAAAATAAAAAACAGATGCTTCTTTGAATACCGCCAGGTTTCCAGTCATTCAAGATCCCAGAAAACATGGAACCAGTTGCAGCTGCCCTAATTTATCATCCCTGCTGGGCGATATAGATCAGGAACTCTGGAATAAAATTCAACCCTGAGCTGTGCCTCTGACTTCTGATTTATTTTGCACTAAACTGCACTATCCATATAGCTGGGCATCTTAACCTGAAAATCAGTATTCTTGCACTAATGCAGCCTCTAAATACTACCTTTTCTTCAATGGCCATCACATTGATCTATAAAGAAGTCATTTCATGTATTAAAATTGAGAAAATGAAGTGTGTCAAGGTTACATTCAAATTATTAGTACTAGAATATCATTCATATATATATATATATACATATGTATAATATACATATCCTCCAAAATTACTTCATAAAATGTTTTGTGCTCTTCAAGAAAGCATTTATACTCAAAATAATTTATCAGGAGGATAACAATGAAGGCCCAGAATAAAGCTCCTTTCATAAAACAGCTGCATCACCAACTAGATCATGTTCCTGACCCTGAATTGAAGGAGCTTGTCAGCTTACATTCTTTCCAAGTAAATCAGTCCTGTTGGGCTTCAGTCCAGAAAGCCTCTGCTTAACTCACTTTATCTCTCACTGACCTTTACTCCCCAGATGTGTATCTCATGTAACAGGTCTGCACACTTGACCCTGACTACTTTGATCAAACACAATAAATAAAGGAATTAAAGGACAAAGCTTCCCTTAAAACAGAAAATCTTGCTCTTTCAGAGCCTTTTGTTTTTAAGAATATAATTTTTTCCTTAAACTTACCTATTTAAAAATTAAAGTTACATTGGTAACATGGAGCTCTGAAAGTTCCAAGCAGTTTGAAATTAATTTTATTCTTTATAAGATTTTAATTGCTGTGAAGTTTTTGTTTCATCCTCTCTCTTATTGAAAATCTTATTGCAAAAATATTCATTTGTTTTCAGCTCTGGTGAAGTTACAAACCTCACATTGCAAAATTTAAATGGCACAGAGCTTCCTTCTATTTTTGTAATTTAATGTGTAAATAAAGTCAAAATTTAACAACTAGGCATTTCACTATACTTGTTCATCATTTAAGTTGACTGCCAGAAGAAAAGAAAGATTATCTTTTTGGTTGCTTCAAACCTTTTTCAAAAATCATTTAGCTTTTTCCCCATTGATTCAAGCAATAAGAGACCTAATGTTCCTTGAACAACTTATATTTGAAAATGCTTTTTCTTCCTGAAAATAGTCAAGTTTTATAACATTGAGGAGTTTTTTTTCAATAAAGTAAAGTTCCAGAATATAAGCAAATCTCCCACCAGGGACCTTTGAAATATTGCAATATGCCAGCAATTCAATTTAATCACTAAAAATAGTTCTTTTTATATCATATATTCACTTTAAGTCTTACATATGTATACTTCTCCTCTATAAAACCAATTAATATTTGCTAATATGCATCCATCACTAATATACATTAATATCTAAGTGTTTACTTTAAATACATGGTAAGGTGCCATTTACAATAAAAACCTTTTGTAGTTATCTGAATTCAATCTGAGTAGTGACTTCATGTATCTGGAAATAGTCCTATTTAGCAGCAAACTAATCCCAAGAATATAATGATAGATCGAAAATAAAATACATGTATAAACTGCTTTTTCTCCCAGGTTCTAGGTCACCTTACAAGCAATTTTTTAAATTTTTCCTTGCTTTTATATCCATGTTCTAAGATCCACCCTCCATTATGTCTAGGATTCCTGGTGGCTTCTTGCCAGGTGACCACATGGGCCCTGCATGCTACTGCATCTCAGCCTCCCCTGAATCTTTCCTGACACCATCTGTGCTCTTTCAGCGGTAGAGGATGATGGTGCATTGTGAAGCCGGAAATGTACTTTTCCGCCTTGTTTTAGGCCTTCTTGGAGGAGCCTGAGTGTAAACTTCTTATTCACTTGATGTCTTCAAGAGATTTAAGTTGTTAAACTAAGTTTGACCTAAAGCTGCCTCCTTACATATTTAAGTTCAGCCTAAAGGTTATTCCATACGTAATGAACTATAACCTAACTTGATGTGTAAACAGACTGTAACCTACTCCTTAGAAATTTACATATTTATTTAAGTTCATATTTACAAATTTAAGTTCAGTCTAAAGGTTTACATATTTAGGTTCAGCCTAAAGGTTTCCCCGTAATGAACTGTAATGTAATTTGATGTGTAAACAGACTGTAACCGATTCCTGTAACAAGTAGCTGAGTCTCAGCCAATCACAGCAGGTTCTAGTAAGGCAAAGACCCAGCTGTAACCAATCCAGCTGTTTCTGTATCTCACTTCTGTTTTCTGTTTGTCACTTCCTTTTTTCTATCCATAAATGTTATCTGGTCACATGGCAGCCTTGGAATTGCTCTGAACCTATTCTGGTTCTGGAAGCTGCCTGATTGATGAATCAGTCTTTGCTCAAATTCTGTTAAATTTAATGTTTCTAGAGTTTTTCTTTTAACAAAGTAAAAAACATTTTCCATTTCTGTCTTGCACCACATAAGAGTCCAAGGAGGGCTAGCCTGGGAGATGAATTTAAATAACATGAACATATTAAAATTACCCTTTCTAAGGGGCAACTTAAAACCTAAGAATGAATTCCTCTCTCTTGAGGGTTCTTAGTGCTTATGCTTGTCAGCTTCACTTTCCTCAATGTTAATCCACCATTTTCTACATAAGGGGGACATGCCATCCCAAAATATGACTAGGAGATCAGAATATGCCATCCCAAAATATGGCTTTCTGGCATAAGGATTATTTTGAGTTGGTTACTTTGAGGAAGTGCAGACACAGGAACAGCTCTGAAAAGTTGCCCTTTTGTAAAGAAATTTACATTTAATAGAAATCTCCATTTGTAAAGTTATCTCCCTCTCTGTAGCAGAAGAAAATGATGACTAAATCACTAGAACTCTTAATCAATGGAGAAAGCATTGACTCAAATCTGCATAGCAACCCTTAGCTTTGTTTAAGGTCCTTTCCCAGCCTTCTCATCTTAACCAGACCTTTCCATCCTTCTTTCTTTGTTTCAGAGAATGATGGTATTTAAGCCTGAAGTTTAAACCACCCCTTTGAGATCTACTTCAGATATTCACTCCTTTCTCTGAGTGATGTCTCATGCATATAGGATGTGTGCATGTGCTATGGTCTGAATGTTTATGTTCCTACCAAACTCATCTTGAAACCTAATCTGCATTGTGATGGGCATTAAGCAGTGGGCCCTGATGAATGACATTAGTTTCCTTGCAAAAGAGATTGAAAGGAGGACACAGTATTCACCCCTTCCACCATGTGAGTACACAGAAAAAGGACCATCTACAAGAAACAGGCCTTCACCAAATCTGCTGAGGCCTTGATCTTGGGATTCCCAGCCTCCAGAATTGTGAGAAATAAATTTCTGTTGTTTATAAATTGCCCAGTCTAAGGTATTTTTGTTGTATTAGCCCAAACAGAATAAGACAACATGTTTTTAAATTTTGCTTGTTTTTCTCTTGTTAATTTATTTTTTATTGCAGGGATCTGTCTCAACTAAGAACTATGGAGGATAGAGGGAAAATTATTTTTCCTCCCCTACACAGTAACACTAGAAATATCTGGATCCTGCTTAGATTTAAGACCCCTGTTCTAGGTGATTACCCACAATAAAAGTAACAGGTAGATATAGCTAAGACATTTTCAAAACTATTTATATTTTCATATTAAAATAGGAACTTCTGAGGAGAGAAATGATCACCTGGTGACCATCAAGCAGGCCATCCAGAAGCAAAACTCCTTACCTGGGGAATTTAGAAGTAATTAGACTTCCTTATTATCTAAAGCCAGCATCTGGTACCAGGCTTCTTTCCCCAAAACAACTAGAATTTCTATTTATCTCCAGAATGCATGCATGTTGAAACTCATTGTGCAGTCCTTGCTGACATTAAGGCACAAAAATATCTACAAATGTAATCATTTATCATGACCTATGTGGCTAATATGGTCCAAATGACCCTTAAGCTCCTATTTTAAGGTCCATAAATGTTCCTAAGAAAAATCCACTCCATTGTGTTCAGTCCTCTCTTGCTGAGACACCCCGCTGCACTCTTCAGCAATGTTTTTTCTATCTAATAAAACTTTCCTTTTCAAACTTATACTGGTGTTGGTAAATTCTTACTACCCTATGACCCACAAGCCAACCACTTCCAATGCTAGCGCTCTGATTCCTTGCCCTACAATTTCAAATACTTGCAGCTTAACTTCAGAGGTACACGTTGTTGTAGACATTTGTAGATATCCTGACTGACAAGCTTTTCTCTTTTTGTTTGGCAGATTTTTAAGCTTACTAGTCCCTCATCCTCAAGGTAGAACTCAGGAAACAGCCTCCCTTGCAACTAGGACTTAGGCAAGTGACCCAGGCTCTACCAATAAGATGTACTCAATGAGACTTCAATTTGGAAGTGAGCATCTTGAGGAAGGAAGCTCTGCACTCAATTTATCATGTTGGTGATGCTTACAGTAGAACTGTCTGGCTTTCTCAGAGACTTAACCTATGCAAGGGTCTATAGCAAAGCAAAAGATATAACTCGCTTCTTAGTGTTTGCTTTTGTTTGCAGGATTCCAAAGCATTCCTGGGGGGTCCTCAATGTTTTACAAACTTTCCCTGAAACAGTTCTTCCTGTTTTCTATAGCTTTCCTGAATGATGTGGGACTCAAACAGAAGTCCAATAACAACTACACTCTATTGTGAGTATGCCATCCTTACTGATGACTAAGTCTTTTTCACTAAAGACTGTTTGTTTTCAGCAAACCTGGCCCATTCTCCCCATATATTCCTCAAGCCTCCCCTGCAAATAGACATCTGTTAGCCCAACCCACACTTTTACTCTAGCCATGTCCAAATCCTACTTAGATTCAAGCTGGAGTCCTGACTTTATCAATGTCTTAAGTGGTTAAATTACTAAAGGATGAGAATGTTTAAACAAATCTAAACATGCTTAAACAAATAATCATAATGTTCAATTTTAACATTGTAGAGTACCAAAAAAGTTTATCGCTATCACTGTAATTCCAAGCCCCTTTCTACAGTTGCAAAAAGATGCCGTCTTTTTCTCATGGCTCTTCCCTGGAGATATTCCCAAGGACCTCCAGCATAGTTTAATTAATCTAAAATGTTAATTTCTAATGACTACTGTCTGAGCCTCCTCAGACAGCCAACCACCCCTTTGGTTTCTGCCAATGGCCATCAGAGCCATCCAGACCAATTTGCTATGACAGTTCTTCTCCTGGTGCTGGGCCAGGGAACTCAAGCAAGAGATACATTCTGTGCCCCAAACCAGCCTTCCTTATGAATTGCTCTAAACCTGGCTGAACTATACCCCTTTGACTTCCCAAAGGCACAACTACAAGCAAGCACTATAGCCCTGACAAGACCATCTCAAATTCTTAATCATTCAATCTTAAACAAACCCAGTACAGGGCACTAATAGTCCCTATTGAATATCTTTGAGGAAAACTACCTCTGTTTCCTCTTTTAGAAGTAAAATATGTATACCTAATTGACATTATTAAACAGAACACAATGCATCCATTTTGATTCAAAGTAACCTCATACTTTTATCCAAGGGCTTTGGGTGGGTATTTACTTATCTTACATACCTGGAATGAAAGAGCCTATTCTGGAGAATTTTTTTAACAAAAGTAGTCAGTTTCAGAGGTAAAGATGTCTTTACCTCCATAAAACCAAACTGCCAGCAACCCTGGAAAGAAATGTCCTTAGTAAATCTTTTAAACAGTTATATCCTTGTTATATAAGTTTTTTAATCTAAAAAAATTAGTGTTTTTTTACTTTAAAAGTCATTTAAAGGTTTTTAAAATTATATATATATGTATATGTTTTTAAAATAAATCTAGCTGCAGATGGTACAAAATTTAAAATACTCAAAGTAGCGCTCTGTCTCCCACCCGATTCTCCTTCTCAGAAACAACCACTCTCTGTAGTATTTTGTGAATCCTTCCAGAGATTGATGAAGAAGCAATACCAGCATAATGGCACAATATTTCTTTGAAATCTTCCTGAATCAACTTCTCCTTAAGATTATGTTTAACTTCTCATATGTGTGGATTCTATTGTCTTCCAATGTTTATGTTTTCTTCTCATTTCTGCAATTGCTTTGGCCTTTTACCTCACCATCAATTAGGCTTTTTCACTTCTCTTATTCTTCCCAACTGCAAGATGGTTTCTATTTTTCCTCAGAAAGAGGTAAGATAGTAACTTTGTTCTGCACAGTTGGGGAAGTCGTACTTTTGGTTAGATTTTGTTCATCTAATATATTTTGCTACTTATTCTGATTTTTAAGCTTTCCTGAGATTATGCACTCTAGTGCATAGCATGTATAGAGAATCATGTATAGAGAATCAAAAGCATGTATAGAGAATCAAAAACTGTGCAGTATCTGAGATTTTAACCTACTTACAAATTAACACATTAGCCTCTCACAGTCTAATGGATCCAGGTAGAAAAAAATGAGACTTCTGGATCAGAGACGGAGAGTTGACTGCTCAGAGCAATGCCTATAGCCAGAACATCAACATTCATGCCTGTTCCCCAAGGCTCAATTTCTATAATGTAAAACAAAGAGGGCCAAATGATACCTGCTGTGTAGTATAGTATATTACAGAGGAGGAATCCTCAGCATAACGTCCCAAATCTTCTATAATAGGAGGGAAACTTTTCTGACTTTTGCTCCTAAAGAAGATATACTTATCATATTGGATAGTAAGCAAGCCTTGCCACTGTTCTGGAGGAGACGCTATCTCTATCTTCCAAGCCAGTTTACTACACAAACATGTTAGAAGAGACAGTTCATAACAAGGGAATCAATTTCTCTGCTCACCAGATATGCAGAAATGTAAGAAACAAATGGATAATTGTCTCCAAACACAGAGTGCCTACCATGTGCTAGACACTGGTAAGAATTCTAATTCCTCCATTCAGCAAGCTTTTATTGCATACCTACTTTGTTTCCAGGACTGTAACAAGTATCCTTTAAAGGAGATAATGTATGTGAAGAAATTTTTTAAACTCCGGAAAAACAAGTGTTAGCTATTTTTTCTATTACCATAGTTCATTTATCTTTTTGGTATTTTCCTATTTTGGTAGTTATTCCATCCATTTCCGATGCTGGTTATCTTCCAGTATTGATCTTGTACATCTACAATTAAAATTTAGTTGAAGAGGCAGAATACTAAAGCCTCAGCAACTGGTTTCCTTTGCACAAAACAGGCTGACTTCACTTTGCCCATAACCAGCCATCCTGGGCCTTCAATCCTCTCCTTCCAGGAAGGGATGAAGGCTGGAACTTAAAAATGCAAAATTCTCAGTTGTGAAATCAAACAATATTCAAGCACATTAAAAAACATTGCCCATGTAAATCAGTAGTGGGATCATGCCTGTGAATAGTCACTGCACTTTAGCCTGGGAGCCATAGTGAGACCCCCATCTCTAAAAAAAGAAAAAAAAATGGACAGAAAAAATGTTTCAGCTGGGCATGGTAGTTACACCTATAATGCCAACACTTTAGGAGGCCAAGGAGAGAGGACTGCTTGAGCCCAAGAAGTTTGAAGCCAGCCTGGACAACATTTATAGGGACTCTGCCTCTACAAAAAAAAAAAATTTTAAAACTTAAGCAGGCATGGTGGTGCACACCTGTAGTCCCAGTTGCTTGGGAGATTGAGGTGGGAAAATCACTGGAGACTAAGAGGTCGAGGCTGCAGTAAGCTGTGATCACACCACTTCACTCTAGCCTGGGTGACCGAGTGCGACCCTGCCTCATAAAAAAAAAGTTTCATCAAGAATTTTTGGGTTGGATTGCTTTCTAATTTGAACTGATCCGTTTTGCTTACATAGATTTTCATACGGTGTATATTTAATTATGATGTTGTATAACGAATAAGAAATTGTGATGTTGTATAATGAATAAGAAAAACTCTAGTTTAACCATTCGTGTAAAAATATTTTCAAGATGAAAAAATCAACTATTATGCAAATTCATATATAATATATAAATTGTTTTTATAATACCAAGTAAAAAAAGTACTTTAGGCAAAAAAATGTAAATTATTTAGGGTTTTGTCCTTGTTATTGTTTATTATTTTTTTTCTTTACAGTTTATTGAAATATATTTGACATGCAATAAGCTGTACATATATAAATGTACAATTTGAGAAGCTTTAACCTGTAGATATAGCCATAAAACCATTACCACAATCAAAATAATGAACATTCACCCTCAAAAGTTTCCATGTGTCCATTTGTAATCCCTTCCTCCCTTTGTCCCCATCCTTAGGCAATGACTTTTTGCATTATATCAGTATAAATATGTTTTCATTTTCTAGAATTATACTTAAATGGAATATACAGTTCATAATGTACTTTTTTGGTCCAGCTTCTTTCACTAGCATAATATCTTTTGAAATTTACTCATGTTAATATCTTTATTAATAGTTCATTACTTTTTTTGCTAAGTAGTATTCCAATGTATGTATATACCACAATTTATTTATTCTTTCACCTATTGATGGACATAGGGTTGGTTGCAGTTTGCAGCTTTAACAAACAAAGCTATTCTAAATATTCATATACAAGATTTTATGTGAACATATACTATCAATTCTCTTGGGCAATTAATAATAGTAGATTGGTTGAGGCATACAGCAGTTATGCCCACTTAACTTTTTAATAAACTACAAATATGTTTTCCAAAGTATTTGTACCATTTTACATTCTTATAGCAGAGTATGAGCATTCTAGTTACTTCACATCCTTATCAATACTTAATATAGTTGTACATTTTAATTTTAATCATCTAGTTGGTGTGTAGTGGTATATCATTATAGTTTCAACTTACTTTCCTTTAATGACTAAGGATACTAAACATCTTTTCACAGGCTTATTGATCATTTGTGTATCTTCTTTGGTGAGGTGTCTATTCAAATATTTTGCTCATTTTTTCATTGTGAACTCAGTTGATTGTAAACATTTTAGATATATATATTCTAGACACAACGTATTTGTCACATATGTTTTACAAGTAGTTCTCCAAGTCTGCCGTTTGCATTTAAATTATCTTAACAGTGTTATTTGAAGAACAAATTATTTAATTTTAAAGAAGTCAAATTTTATTGATTATTTCTTTTACAGGTTATACATTTTGTGTCTTATTTAAGAAAGCTTTGCCAAACTCATGATCACTAATGTTTTAGCCTGTGTTTTCTTCTAGAAATTTTATTGGTTTAGGTCTATAATTCATTCAGGTTATATGTAGGTCTGATTCATGTCAAATTAATGGGTACATGTAGTATAAGTTAAGGTCTTGTGTTTGTTTATTTGTTTGCATGTGGCTGTCTAATAGTTCTAGCACCATTTGTTGAAAAATTTATCCTTTTTCCATTGAAATACTTTGGCAACTTTGTTAAAAGTCAGCTGTGCATATAAATAGGAAAACTCAAAGTGTTTTCCCCATTCTTTCACACATCAACACTGAACACTTCTGCAACCACAGATATGTGGGTGTTTTCCCCCTCACACCAAGCAATTCAGTGAACACCAGCTAGGTATCCTCTAATTCAGTTCAATTCTGACACTACTTACCCGGAGATAGCATCAGATCCCACAGGTTGAGCACTCAGTCCCAGAATACTGCCTCCAACTTCAGATGCCAATCAAATCCCAGGTTGTGGCCTGTGATTCTCATTGGCAGACTATTCATCAGGGTCCCCAAGACCCCCTTCTTGGGTTCAATTAATTTGTTATAGAAACTCACAGAACCCAGGGAAATGCTTTAGTTACATTTATCAGTTTATGGTAAAGTGTATTTACAAAGGATACAGATGAACAGCCAAATGGAAGACATGCATAGAACAAGGCATATGGAAAGTAGTGCAGAGCTCCCATGCACTCTCCAGGCTTGCCACCCTCCAGGAGGCTCCACATGTTCAGGTATCCAGGAGCACTCCAAATCCAGTCCTGTAGGGGTTTTATCAAATTTTTATTATGTAAACATGATTAATTAAATCATTGACCACTGTTGATCAATTTAACCTTCAGCTCCCCTGTTTTGTATTGTTATAAAGGAATACTTGAGACTGCGTGATTTATAAAGAGAAAAGGTTTATTTTGATTACGGTTCTGCAGGCTGTGCAAGAATCATCATGGCTTCACATCTGCTTTGGAGGGGGCCTCAGGAAGCTTCTACTCATGGCAGAGGTGAATGGAGACAAGCATCACATGACAAAAGAGGAAGGAAGAAATAGGGGAGGTCCCAGACTCTTTTTAACAACAGATCTCACAGGAACTAAGAGTGAGAACTTACTCACTAATGGGAGAATAGCACCAAGCCATTCCTAAGGGATCTGCCCACATGACCCAAAAACCTCACACCAGGCCCCACCTTCAACATTGGGGATTATATAGCAACATGAGATTTGAAGGAGACAAATATCTAAACTCTATTAAGGGGTGAGAGTAAAAGTCCCAGTCCTCTAATCCTGCCTTAGTTTTTCTGGTAACTAGCCCCAATCCTAAAGCTATCTAAGGGCCCCCAGTCAATAGTTGTCTCATTCACCTAAAAAAGACACTCATCACTCTAGAGATTTCAAGTATTATAGAAACTAAATATCTTTAAATGAGGAGGAAGACCAAATATATGTACATATGTATATATATATATATATATACACACACACACACACACATGCTCACACGCACACACACATATATATGTGTGTATATATATATTCTATTATAAATCACAATATTGCAAATATGAAAAATCTTTTTTCTTTCTCAAAATTGTTTTGGTATCTTGATTCATTACCTTTCCACATAAATTTTAGAATCAGTTTATCAATTTCTACTAAAAAATTCTGCAGGAATTTCTATTGGAGTTGCTTTAATATAGATCAGTAACATTTTAACGATATTGACTATTCCAGTCTATAAGCCTGGTATTTCCTTCTATTTATTTGTCTTGAAATTATCTTAGCAATGCTTTGCACTATTTAATGCACAGATCTTAACCAACTTTTGTCAACTTTATCCCTAAGTATTTCATATTTTGGTGATACTGTAAAGAGTATTATTTAGTTAATTTAAACTTCTAATTCCTTTTTAGCATTTTATTATCTTAACCTTTATTGCCATTCAAGCTAATAAAATTATTTCAAAACATGTAGGATGACAGAGTCCACAATTTTTAGAACTCTTCCAAGCACAAATTTCATAGTGAAGTAATATAATAATTACTAATTAATTGAACCAGTACTAAAGACTACCAATTAATTTTTAAGGATTAAAAAGACCACTTTTTTTTTTAGTGTATAAGTGGGGAAAATGTATTCCCTTAACTCTCGTAGTTTCCCTGGCTGGGCTACAAATTAACTTGACATAAGATCAAAATGACTGACCGTAGGCACTCAGCAGTCACCTCCTCCACAAAGAAGGGCCCAAAGAACAAATAAATAGCCACATATTGAATAGGTGTTCCCCTAAGGAACAACACTGGAATTCAGCCAATAAGTGATAAAGGCCCTCTGAGGTATAGAAACTCAGAAAGGCATTATAAAGAGGTAAGCAAAGCACCCAGATGATATCAATTCAAAGCCAATAGGGTCTTCCCATTTTAAGAAAAAAGTAGGTCTAAAAGTCCACACTTTCATCATGGATGCCTGCAATCCAGGCTACAGGAGAGCCTCATAGTCCTCACAAGCACGGAACTGAGTATAAAGAACTACCTGGAGTCCACAATACTGCATTATTCTACAGAAGAATTCCCTCTGAAAATCCTCTATTCCCCGGGATTCAGAGTGCTGTAACACAGGACAATTTTGAAAGCAGGGCCACCACCGGAGTGCATCCTGCTCTGGAGACCAATAGCCCCTGCATCTCCACGTCCCTGGAACCCCACTGATATCCACCAATATCCACCCAGATGGCTGCAGGGTTGCAACACCAGCTGAACCCAGTGGTACAGCCATGACCATGCCAGATGAGCCTGTGTATCTCCCCACACCCCAAGGAACAGGTGGTCTAGCCCATCAGGAAGGCTGCCCCCAATACAGAGAAAGCTAATGTGTGGACTCCCCATAGCCTGAGAGCCATCTGCCCGGGCCCCACTGCTACTGCCTCTGACCCTGCCCTCTCCAGCAATGGAAGCAGCCACATGCCATGCAAGCCCCGCTAAGAACCCAAGGATCTGGGTTAACAGCTGCCACCAGCATTCGCACCTCATCCAGCCGCAGAACAGCTGTGTGCCCATGAGCAATTTCCCAGGGGCCTGAGGACAGGAATACCTGGAACACACTGAAACTGGCAACCCCACCTCCTCCAGCAGCAAAGCCACCATAAACATGCAAACTCCCCCATAGGTTCTGAGGACCTGCCTGCCCAGTGTCCTCATCTCCAATAAAGCTACATCACAGCTTTTACAAACAACCACAGCCTAGGCCACTGAGAAACTCACAGACACTGTTGACATTGATTACAGTTGAAGAAATAATATGGAGAATACACTATTTTGCCCAGCCAGAACCAATGTCAAAGCACTCTACTCAAATGACACTGTAGGAAACATCTACAAGAAAAAAATCTTTCCCTATGAAAGCTATTCCATAAAATCGGTAGAAGTGATTGTTTCAACCAGATACACAGATATCAACAAAAGGACACAAGAAACATTTAAAAATCAAAGAAACATATTATCTCTAAAGTAACACAATAATTATCTAATAACAGACCCCAAAGAAAAGAAAATTTATGAAATGCCTGAAAAGGAATTCAAAATAATAAACTTAAGGAAACTCAGCAAGATACAAGAGAATGCAGGCAATGCAACAAAATCAGAAAAACACTTTATAGCCTGAACTAGAAATTCAGCAGACGTAGACATCATTTAAAAAAAAAGAACCAAACAGAAAGAGTGTAGCTGAAAAATTCAGTGAATGAAATTTAAAAATACAATTGAGAGCTTTGACAATAAACTAGATCAAGCAGAAAAAAGAACTTCCGAACATAAAAACAGGTCTTTTGAAATAACCCAGTCAGACAAAAGAAAAAAGAGAATGAAAAGAAAGCCTTCAGGACATATGGAATACCATTAAGTGAACAAATATTCACATTATGAGAATTACAAAAGGAAAGGTTATTAAAAAGCAAAAAAAAAAACCTGTTTAATAAAACAATAGCTGAAAAATTCCCAAATCTTGGGAGAAATATGGACATCCAGATGCAAGAAACTCAAAGATTCCCAAGTAGGTTGGGAGAGATACAGACATCCAGATACAAGAAACTCAAAGACTCTCTTGTGGATTCAACTTAGAAAACTTGTACATTACAGTCAAATTGTCAAAAGACAAACAGAGAACTCTAAAAACAGCAATAGCAAAGTGTAAAGTCATACATAAGTTATCCTATCAGACTAATAGCAGTTATATTAGCAGAAACCTTACAGGGCAGTCGAGAATGAAATCATATATTCAAAACAGCTGAAAGAAAAAAAAAGCTGTCAGACAAAAATACTATACCCACCATAGTTATCCTTCAGAAATAAAGAAGAAATAAAGTCCTTCCCAGACAAGCAAATACTAAGAAAATTCATCACCACTAGACCAGCCCTAGAAGAAATGCTAAAAGAGTAACATTTAGAAATGAAGAGACGATATCTACCACCATGAAACACACAAAACTAAAAACTCACTGGTAGGTGTAATGCACAAATGACAAAGGGAAAGGAATCAAACTATCACTACAGAAAACCACCAAACCTCAAAGATAAGCAATAAGAGAGGAATAAAGAAATGACTATACACAAAACAACCAGAAAACAACAAAATTACAGGAGTAAGTCCTCACCTATCAATAATAACCTTGAATGTAAATGACTTAAATTCCCCAATCAAAAGATATAGACTGGCTGAATGAATAAAAAATAACAAGACCCAACTATATGTTGCCTACAAGAAACTCACTTTACCTGTGAAGACACAGAAATAGAAAGTAAAGAAATACAAACAGATATTCCATGCAAATGAAGAGCAAAGGTGAGCAGAAGTAGTGTTACTCATGGTAAACAAAATATATCTTATGTCAAATAACATAAAAATAGGCTAGGCATGGTAACTTATGCCTGTAATCTAGCATTTTGGGTGGCTGAGGTGGATAGATCTCTTAAGCCCAGGAGTTCAAGGCCACCCTGGGCAACAGAGTGAGACCCCCTCTCTATTTTTCATAAAAATAAAAACTTTAAAAAATAAATTTAAAAAAGACAAAAAGTGGCAAAAATATTATCATAAAATGATTTAATTTAAAAAACACAAAAAATGACAAAAATATTATTATATAATGATTTAAAAATCAATTCAGCAAGAGGATATAATTATAAAGATATATGCACTCAACACCAGAGCAGCCAGATATGCAAAGCAAATATTATCAGAGCTAGAGAGAGTGATAAGGCCTAATAAAATAAAATTTGGGAACTTCAACATCCTACTCCCAGCAGTGAACAAGTCATATAGACAAAAAATCAACATAGAGACATCAATTTAAACTGCACTATACTCCATTATGATCTAATAGACATTTACAGGACATTTCATCAAACAGCTGCAGAATACACATTCTTCTAATCAGCACATGGGATATTGGAAAGGCCATACATTAGAGCTAAAAATGAGTCTCAAAAAAAATTTTAATCAAAATCATAGCAATTATTTTCTCAGACCAAAATGGAAAAATTCTAGAAATTAATAAAAAGAGAAACTTTGGAAACATATAAATACATATACATTTAAAAACAGACTCCTGAATGACTACTAAGTTGATGAATAAGAAGGGAATTTAAGAATTTCTTGAAACAAATGAAAATTAAAACACAACATGCCAAAACCTATGGGATACAGCAAAAGCAGTGCCAAGAGAGAAGTTTATAGCAATAAACGCCTATATTAAAGAAGTAGATAGATTTCAAAAAAACAACCTAATCATGTAGCTCAGAGAACCAGAAAACAAGAACAAACCAAATCCAAAATTAGTAGAAAAAAAAGAAATAAAAATTAGAGCAGAATTTTTAAATTGAAACTAAAAAATACAAAACATCAATGAAAAAATTGTTTTTTGTGAAAATAAACAAAATTGACAAATAACTAGCTACACTAACTAAGAAAATAAGAGAGAAGACCCAAATAGATAAAATCAAAAATTAAAAAGACGAGGAAAGAACAACTTATACCACAGAAATAAGAAGGATAATTAGAAATGTTTATGAAAAAACTGTCAACAAGTTGAAAAACATAGGGGAAATAGATAAATTTCTGGACATATATAACCTACAAAGATTGAACCAGGAAGATACAGAAAATCTGAGTTTACTAATAATGAGTAACAAGATTAAATTAGTGATAAAAAGTCTCCCAATTTAAAAAACAAAAAAAGCCCACAACCAAATAAATTTACTACTGATTCTACCAAACTTTGAAAGAACTAAAACAAATTCCTCTCAAACTATTCCAAAAAGTTGAAGGGGGAATTCTTTCTAACTCATTCTATGAGGCCAGCATTATCCTAATACCAAAAACAGACAAGGACACACAAAAAAGAAAACTGCAGACCAATAGCCCTAATGAAAACAGACTCAAAAATTCTCAAAAAAAATGTTAGCAAACTGACTCTAGCAGCACAACAGAAAGATAATACATCATGGTCAAATGGGGTTTATCCCAGGGATACAAAGATGACTTAACATATACAAATCAATAAATGCAATCTATCATATCAACAAAATGAAGAACAAAAAAAATGTGATCATCTCAATAGATGCAGAAAAAAATCATTTTATAAAATTCAACATCCCTTCATAATAAAAATTCTAAACAGAGTAGTTATAGAAGGAACATACCTCAACACTATAAAGGTTATATATGACAAACTCAAAGCTAACATCATACTGAATGAAACTGGAATGGAAAAAGACAAGGATGTCCACTTTCACCAATCTTATTCAACATAGTACTGAAAGTTCTAGCCAATTCAACAAGACAAAAGAAAAGAAATAACATCTAAATTGCAAAAAAAGGAAGTCAAATTGTCTCTCTTTGTGGATGACATAATCTCATACATAAAAAGGCCTAAAGCCCTCATCAGGAAAAAATGCTTAGAATGAATAAATGAATTCAGCAAAGTTGAAGGATAAAAAATCAACATACAAAAATTTCTACTGTTTTTATACACCAATAACAAACTACCTGAAAAAGAAATTAAGAATACAATTCCATTACAATACAAAAAGAGGCTAATTGACTCATGGTTTCACAGACTGTACAGGAAGCATGGCTAGGAAGGCCTTAGGAAACTTAGAATCATGGCAGAAGGCAAAAAGGAAGGAGGCACATTTTACATAACTGGAGCAGGAGGAAAAGAGAGAAGGGAGAGGTGTTACACACTTTTAAACAACCAGATCTCATGAGAACTCACTATTATGAGAATAGCAAGGGAGAAGTTTACATCCATGACCTAATTACCTTCCACCAGACCCCTCCTCCAACATTGGAGATTACAATTTGACATGATATTTGGGCAGGGACACAAATCCAAACCATATTATTCTTCCCCTGGTCCCTCCCAAATTTCATGTCCTTCTCACATTGCAAAATGCAATTATTTCTCCTCAACATTCCCCCAAGTCTCATTCATATGTGGGAGCTAAAAAAGTTGAGTTCTGAATTAGAAAAGAGAATTGTGGTTATTAGAGAATATGAAGGGTAGAGGGGAAGGGAGAACAAGGAGAGTCTGATTAATGGATATAAAGTTATGGCTAAATAGGAGGAATAAGTTATAGTGTTCTATAGCACTGTAGGGTGACTACAGTTAATAATAACTGATTATATATTCTCCAATAGCCAGAAGAGAGGATTTTCAATGGTCCCAATAGAAAGAAATAATAAAACTTTGAGGTGATGTATATGGTAATTACTCTGATTATAATCACATTGTATACATGTAACAAAATATTACTCTGTATCCCATAAATATGTACAATTATTACATGATAATTGAAAATAAATTTTTAAAAATAAATACAATAAAGATAAATCAACATAAGACAGGTTGATAGGAGAAAAACCATTTTAATTACATGCATACACATGGAAATCCCACAAAATATGAAACCCAAAGAAGCTCAGATAATTAAAGCTTATATAGCATCCTGAATTTCAGCAAAGAATAAAGGCTTGGGGTCTATGGAGAATGGTAGAAACAAGTTATGGGAAGCTGAGGGGAGAAAATGTATAGTGAATAAAATCTGTCTTATTATACAGATAAAAAGTCTCTCAGATAAGAAAAGTTGTCTTGGAGCAGCCCTCTTCCTGATGCAGATATCTTTACTAATGCAGATATCTTTACTAATGCAGATTTACTTTATAGTTGCAAATTTTCTTTATAAAAGGGAAGCTTTTAGGAGTTACTCCTGTATCTGCAGTTTCTCAAAATAACCTGTGCGAAATATGCTAAAGATGTGTATTTTGGGGTGGCATGTTCTGGTTACTCACATTCATATTTTGGGGTGGTATGTCCTGAGCCCCAACAAGTACAAATAGTTTATTGTGCTCAATAGGACCAAAGGAGGAGTGGGAAGTGAGACAGGGCAGGGAAGGAAACATATATATGGTGAGTTATCAGGGAGATTATTCCTATGGACAAAAACGTCTCAATACCATCTGAGAACTCAGGGACAGTGTGGAACACACTTCAGAATTATTCCACCTGATGGGTTAGGATGCTGGGGTTTTTATTCACCCACTGGCCATCTGTCATTTTTTTTTTGGATTTTTGTTTCATTTGGTTTGGGTTGAAGTTTTTTTTAGTGTTTCCCAGACATGCTTTTATAATTTTCTATGGTAAGAACACTTAACATGAGATCTACCCTCTTAATAGATTTTTAAGTGCACCATACAATATTATTATCTATATGCATAATGTTGCCCATCAGATCTTTAGAACTCATTCATCTTGTGTCACCAAAATTTTGGGCCTATTGATTAATGACTCACCATTTCTCCCTTCCTCTAAGCCCTGGCAATCACCATTTTATTCCTTACTTCTATGAATTTGACTATTTTAGATAGTTCATACAAGTGAAATCATGAACAACTTGTCCTTCTGTGACTGATTTATTTCACATGACATTGGTCTGTCAATTATTTTACGAATATTACACCAAAAGCAAAAATAAACAAACTACATCAAACTAAAAAGCTTCTGCACAGCAAAAGAAACAATCAAAAGAGCAAAAAGGGGCTGGGGGTGATGGCTCATGCCTGTAATCTCAGCAATTTGGGAGGCCAAGGTGGGTAGATGCCTTGACCCCAGGAGTTCAAGACCAGCCTTGGAAACATGGTGAAACCTCATCGCTGTTAAAAATGCAAAACTTAGCAAGTCTCATAACTCAGTCTCAAAATAAATAATTAAATAAAAATTTTAAAACAGAGAGCAAAAAGGAAGCCAACAGATGTGAGAAATTATTTACAAACAATATGTATAATAAGGGTTTCATTTCTAAAACATATAAGGACCTCCTACAACTCAATAGCAAAAAATAAACTAATGGCCCAATTAAATAAATGAGCTAAGGACTTGAAGAGACATTTCTCCAAAGAAGGCATACAAATAGCCAACAGCTACGTGAAAAGGTACTCAACAAAAGCTAAATCCAAATCAAAACTATTATGAGATATCATCTCACACTTTTTAGGATGACTACTATCAAGAAACAAAAGACAGCAATTGTTGGCAAGGATGTGGAGAAACTGGTGCACTGTAGGTGGAAATGAAAACTGGTGCAGCCATTAGGGAAAACAGTATGAAGGCTTCTTTAAGCCTTAAAAATAGAGCTACCATAATATCCAGCTATCTCATTTCTTGGTATTTACCCAAAAGAATTGAAATCAAGATCTCAGAGAGATATTAGTATTCTCATATTCATTGCAGGACTATTCACAAAGCCAATATGAAGAAACAACCTAAATATCCACCAACAGTTGAATGGATTTTTAAAACATAACATATATATATATATATATATATATATATATATATATATATATATATACACAGTAATGCCATTCAGCCTTAAAAGAGAAGGAAATCCTGCAATATGCAACATGGATGAGCCTTAGGAAATTATGCTAAGTGAAATAAGTCAACCGATTTTGTTTACCTAGTATCCTAACACTTTGCCAACTTTACATATTACTTCTAGTAACCTTTTACAGATTCCTCAGGATTTTCTACATAAATTATCATGCTGTCTATGTATAAAGATGGTCTTATTTCTTCCTTTCCAATCTGTATGACTTCTATTTCTCTTCCTTGCCTATTTCACTGACTATGACCTCTACTACAACGTTAAGGAGAAGTAGTGAGAGTAGACACTTTTGCCATGTTACCAATATTGAGAGGAAATCATTCAGCCTTTTATCAAGTACAATGTTAGCTGGAAGTTTTTAATAGATGCCTTTTATCAAGTTGAGAAAATTCTCTTATATTCCTAGATTTTAATAATTTTTATTTGAAAAGAATGTTGATTTTTGTCAAATGTTTTTCCACATCTTTTTAAGACGTTCATACTTTTTTTCTTTTTGTCTGTTAATATTGTAAATTACATTGACTGTGAAACCAACCTTGCATTCCTGGGATAAGCACCACTTGGACATAATGTATTATCCTTTTATAACATTGCTCAATTCAAATTACTAGTTTTTAAATTAATTCTTGCATTTATGTCCATGAGGAATATTGATCTCTAGCTTTCTTACAATGTTTTTGATTTAATGGCATTAGGATTATGCTGGTCTCATAAAATGAGTGTCCTCTCCTATTTTCTGGAAAAAAAAATTGCATAGAATTGTTATGATTTCTTTCCCAATTATGTGGTAGAATTCACCATGTGATCTGGGCTACTCAAGTAATCTATTCTTGAGCTTTAGAAGTTTTTATCTATTAAAGGATTTTCTGTTCATCTAAGCTGTTGAATTGATTAGCATAAAATTGTTCATTATGTATTCATAATATATTCTTTTCAATATTTATAAGATTTGCTGGCCCTTGCTCTAGGATTATAATATATACATTTAAGCTATTGTACTCTACCTTAAATTAATACTATACTACTTTATACATAGCATAAGAACTCTATATAACACTCTTATTTTCATTTCTCCCAATCCTGGACTTTGTACTGCTATTGTCATACAGTTTTCTTCTACATGTGTTATAAACCATACATTGTTGCCATTTTTGCTTAAAACAAGTATTCTTTAAAGAGATTTTTGAAATAAGAAAGAAAACTCTTTTATATTTATCCAAATATTTATTCTTCTAGTTCTTGTCATTCGTTTGAGTAGAAATAAATTTTTATCTGTCATCATTTTCTTTTTCCTTCAAGGATTACTATGACATTTCCTGTAGTGCTGCTCTGCTGGTGATAAATTCTGTCAGCTTGTTAATGTCTGACAAACCCTTTATTTCACCTTCATCTTTTAAACATATTTTAGCTAAGCACAGATTTCTACAATGATGGAGGTTTTTTTCTTTCAATACTTTAAATTTGTTGCTCCATTATTTTCTGGCTATATTCTTTCTTTGTCATTCTTCGTTTCTCTGTATGTAATATGTCTCTTTTTTTTTCTTTGACTTATGTAATTATTTTCTCTTTATTCCTGGTTTTAAGCAATTCAATTATCTGGTTTATGAGTGTGTGTGTGTGTGTGTGTGTGTGTGTGTGTGTGTGTGTTTCATGTGTTTTCTGATTGAATTCTGTTGATCTAAAATCTATGGGACTCATGGTTTTATCAAATTTGGTAATATTTCAGCCATTATTTCATAAAATATTTTTTCTGCCCCCTTCTCATCTCTCTCCTCTCTCTCTGTAATTCTTATGACACATGTATGACTTCATTGACAAGTGAAACTGAAGCACAGTTTACTAGTGCTGTGCTCATCTTCTTCAGTCTTCTATCTCTCAGTGTTTCAATTAGGATAGTTTTGGTTACTATGTCTTCAAGGTCACTACATTTCCTTCTGTAGTGCCTAATTTCTTGTTAATCCCATTCAGTGTACTTTTTATTTCATACATTCTGTTTTTTTTCATTTCTAGAAAGTCAGTTTAGGTTTTATTTGTTTCTTCTATTTCTCTCTTCACTATGCTTCTACCTTCTTCAACACAGAAGTATATTATTATAACTGATTTAACGTCCTTTTCTACTAATTATGTCATCAATGTCATTTCTCTTTCTAGTAGTTAACTTTTTCCCTCATTTTAAGTCATATTTTACTGCCTCTTTGGATGCCTTGGTAATTTTTTATTAGATGCCAGACAGTGTGATTTTCACATTGTTAGATACTGGACGCTTTGTATTTTTTTAAGTATTTTTGGACATTGTTCAGGGATGCAGTTTAGTTTCTTGGAAATGTACACTAGACTCTTTTCCTTTAAATGTTTTTAGGCTTTGTTCTAAAAAGTGGTTAATTTGCTTGGAAATAGTTTTATACTTTTGAAATTTGCTTTTCAGCTTTATTAGGCAGGTTTAGAACAGCTTTTAGTCTAGGGTAGAGCTCAGCAATTAGTATAGCGTGGGGCTCAGCAAACATTTTTGAAACACAAACTATTCCTGGCATTGTGTGAGCTCCATGTGCTATTTGAGAGCCAGATCTTCAGAATTCCTTTATGGGCAGCTCTCTCTTCTGTATTCTGTCCTTTCCATTATAAATGCATTGGCCTTTGTGAACTCTGCATTCCGTCTCCTTAGTTAAGAGAGACTCCAGGCTCTGTTTGAGCTCCCTTTCCCTGTGCTGAAGCCTGGAAACTCTCTTTATCCTGTAATCTAATGCAATCATACAGCTTACCCTATTTGTTCTGTTTACTCAGAAATCACTTTCCTGTACTTCCTGTTCTCCAATGTCTAAAAACTATGGCTTTATATATTTTGTTTGGTTATTTAATTTTTTTATTATAATTATTCTCTCTATTAATCCATCATAGACAGAAATGAAAGTCAAGAATATAATTTTTTGTATTTATTTACATAAAAGTAAATATAGATTTAAACTCAAGCAAAAGCATAATAGTTTGTCTTCCCATAACTTTTGTAAATCAAATTATGCTCATAAGTACGTGAAGCAAAAAAAGAAAATATATCCTTAGGACATTTTTTAAAATTAATTTTATGTGTAAGTATAAATAAGGAAATATCTATTGAGGTGACAAATTTTTATTTAATTATAATGTTTCCTGAGAATGAGAAAATTAGCATTAGCAGGTAGGAGAGCAGGGGAGATAGGAAAAGGTTGGTCAATTTGCACAAAGTTCCAATTAGAAAGGAAGAATAAGTTCTGGTGTTCTATTGCACAGTAGTCTATTGCACAGTAGGGTGACTATAGTCAACGACAAGGTATTGTGTATCTCCAAATAGCTAGAAGAGGGGATTTTGAATGTTTCCACCACAAAAAAATAAATATTTGTGGTGACAGGTATACTAATTACCCTGATTTGATCACTACGCATTGTTTACATGAATCAAAACATCACACCATCCCCCATAAATATGTACAATTGTATGTAAATTAAAAATAAAAATAATGTTTTAAAAATGTAAACTTATGCACAATAAAATTTTAAAGAGTTTTTAAAAATTAGCATTAACTATAAAGAAAAAGCTATAGGATACACCTCACCTAGATATTATAACTAGAATATATTAATATTTGCTTTAAAACTTTTTAATGTGGGTCTGGCATCAAATTTGGTAACTAAGTAAGCATTATATTTAGAACACCAATAGATATTTTAGTGTTCTAGGCAATTTGATTTTTAGAAAAAATAGAAGAATTTCAGTTACTTATTTAAAAACTAGAACAGAAATTTTAGTATTATATATTTAAAGCCATTAAATGTATAAAGTAAATAAATTCAACTTGTATGGGTCTTTTAAAAACCATCAGCTAATTGCTTTAAATACCTGTAATGACTTCTTTCAGACTTTGTTTAGAATGCCAATTATTCCAAATGACATGTTCACTATAATTTTAAGTCTTCCTGCATTATAAAATGATTTCAGCTTGTGATATTGCTTTCCAGCAATTAAGCTAAAAATATGCCTTAAATAGTCAACATTAGAGCCTAAATTACATGCACAATAACATTTCATCCATGAACTTCCAAGGAAAACTTTCTTTAAAATTTAATGATATTTCTTCTACTAAATGTAAAAGTAATAATAATACTTCTGGGCCGGGTACGGTGGCTCACACCTGTAATCCCAGCACTTTGGGAGGCCAAGATGGGTGGATCACAAAGTCAAGAGATCAAGACCATCCTGGCTAACACAGTGAAACCCCGTCTCTACTAAAAACACAAAAAATTAGCCAGGTATGTTGGCACATGGCTGTAGTCCCAGCTACTGGGGAGGCTGAGGCAGGAGAATTGCTTGAACCGGGAGGCGGAGGTTGCAGTGAGCCGAGATTGCACCACTGTACTCCAGCCTGGGCAACAGAGCAAGACTCTATCTCAAAAAGAAATAATAATAAATAACAATAATAATACTTCTGAAAAGACTCTTCAATTAAAATGTCACTTCTAACTTGTGATAAATTTACAGAAAACAAGTCTACTTTCATTAGAAGATATTACAGGTCATTCTGCTGCTAATCAAATAATACAACTTCATATTCTTATATGTTAATACAGAGTATCTTTTTCACAGAATTTAATTTAGCTTACATTAAATACTGTGGAAAGCAAGGAAGGGTAGAATGCGTTTCCCGCCTACGTGGAGCTGGCAGTCTACTTGTAAAACCAGGCACATAAACAATAGAGATAGAGTAAGCAATTTGTGATTTAATACACAATGATGCCAGGAATTTTACACATATTATGTTTAATCTTCTCAGAATTATTTAGGAGTGAAAAATTAAATAGAACTCTTTAGTTGCAAATAACATGTCTCCCCCCTTGTCATTCTCTCTCTCTCTCTGTCTCTCTGTCTCTGCCTTTCTCTGCCTCTGTCTGTCTCTTTCTCTGTCTCTCTGTCTCTCTGTCTCTCTCTCTCTCTCTCTCACTCTCTCTCCCACACACACACACACACACAAACACATACACATACACAAAAACACATACACCTCTCTCCTTCTCTTTTCAGGTTAGCTTCATTTTCTCAAGATCAGCGGCCACTCAAACCTGAAACTCTGATAAGAGTCATCTTGGGCCTTGTATACTCTCACATGCTCTCACAACCAGAGCACTTCACTTGAAAAAAAAAAAAAAAAAAAAAAAGAGTGCTAGGGGAAAAATTGACTGGTCTACCTTAGAGCAAATGTTCACATCTGTGAGTGATTGCTGTAGCAACCGGGATGGAGAACTATAATTGGTACAGATAGAGGAACCCTTTATCACCAGGAGAAGGGGCAGCACAATAAGACTACTGAAAAATACATTGTAAGCCAGTATTTAAGAAGTGGAATGTAAGCCTTTTTCATGCCGTTGACCTTTTTTTTGGAGGAACCAAGTCACCAGTTTCCTGCAAATCGTTGTGAGATCTCAAATCTGTTGGCACACCATGGTCCGTGGGCCAAATCTGACCTTCTGTGGGCTTTGTAAATAAAGTTTTACTGGGGCAAAGCCAACCATGCCATTTATTTACATATTGTCTATAACTTGTTTCGTGCTACACTACCTGAGTTGAGAAGATGCAACAGAGATGGTATGGTTTACAAAACCTAAAGCTTGCAGATTCCTGATCGAGATGCTTTATTATATTCAGTTCAATTGTTTAGGCTGGAATAATTTGTATGTATGCTGTGTAATTTTTTGCATCTCATTCTGATGCGCACAATACTGGATTTTCCCACTGTGAGCTTAGCAGTGGTCCAGGCTTGACACCAGTGATTCCATCTTGGGCTACTGACTCCACACTGAATTGCTGATGAACTTTGAAATGGACAAAGAAACTGTAAAAACATTTCCTTCATAAACATCTATGCTCTCAACAATACACAACACAATGAAATTGATCCTCAGTCTTTAAGGACATACTGTTTATAGCTTTCCTTGACTAACTAATGCAAATGCACTATTCCACTAATGATAAAAGACTTCTTTGTTTAATCAACTGGTGAAATAATCTGACACACAGTTTAGGTAATCTAAAAGCCCTGTTGACTCTCACTGGTGCTGCAGTCTCTGACTGCTACCTGGGTTACAACCCCCATTTCTGACTATGTGCTTATTTGCCTCCTTTTTAGGGTTAATACCACTTTTAGTAATACTAAGATGAAACCACATTTTAAAGTTAAACATAAGCTATCATATGACCCAGTAATTCCACCCCTAGGTATAGAACCAAGAGAACAGAAAACACATGTCCACACAAAAAAAAAATGTACATAAATGCTCTTAGAAGTATTTTTCACAAGAGCCAAAAATTGAAGCAACCCAAATGTCCATCAGCTAATGAATGGATAAACAAAATGTGTTACATCCATACAATGGGATGCTATTTAACCATTAAAAGGAATGAAGTACAGATACATGCTACAATATGGACAAACATAAAAACATTATAGTAAGTAAAAGAAGACATATTTCAAGATTCTGTTTATATGGATTTTCAGAATAAACAAATCCACAGAGAGAAAAAGTAGATTAGTGGTTGCCAAAAACTGGTAGGAGGGAGGAATGGTGAATTACTGCTAATAACTATGGAGCTTCTTTTTGGAGTGATGAAAAATGTTTTGAAATTAAGTAGTTGTTAAATAAAATTTATACAGGACCATTGGTTTGGACTGAGCTCCTGCACTAGGCCCAACAGACCTAACCAAAATGGAATCACTTGTATTGAAGTTTCATCTGTGCTGAAGCTAAGTTGTTCATCTGACCTTCAAGAAATCAGAAGACAGGGATAACAGTCAAATCCCCACACAGGCCACTTTCAGCTGGGATGGTAAGAAAGTCCTCTCTGCTTTAACCTTTACAGGGAAAGTGACTTTGAAATGACCAATCCGTCTTTAGATCCCTGGTCTTACTTTCTTCAGCCCTTTCTGTCTATGAAGCCAACTTTCTCTACTCAGCTCATCAGAATGAGGTGTTGTTTTATTCTAAAATTGCAAATAAAAGCCAATTAATTAATATCTTTCAACTAAATTTGTTGTAATTTTGTCTTTTGACAGAGAGGTGATGGTTGCACAGCTCGTGGCCACACTAAAAACCACTGCATTGTATACTTTAAGGGGTGAATTTTATTGTATGTGAATTATTTCTCAATAAAGCTATTTTTTCAAATATGAAGTCAGAGGGTTTAGGTTGCATCAGCCTGACTTCTCCATTATAAAATTATTCCATCCACATTTTACCTCATGCTTTTGTCATTTATACATGAATGTTGCCTGGAAGCATTATTTCATTAGGACTTGCAAATAAGTAAATTTCTAATACTGCTATTCTATCTGTATCTATTAGCTATAATTCTTCTATAAAGAATGATTTTCACTCACAAGCTTTTTGATTACATACATATACTATTCATACAGGTAAGGCAGATAAGCTTGATTATTTTTCTTGCTCAGTTTTTCAGAGAAATAATTGGTGCTCTGGCAACCTCCAGTGGTGAATAGTGAGATATTTTGTTAGTTTTGATTTGGTATCATTACAAACTCACTGATTTTTATATATGTGTTGTGTTTCAGTTTGATGCAGTCATTCCTTTTGATGCTCACATTGTCCCATCCACGAGGGAACTCCCTTCTAGTTGGCTCCAATGCCAACGTAATCTAGAGAAAATAAAATGTCACTAAGAAAATCATAAGGAAGAGAAAATACATGTACAGTACTGTACTGTATTTATTGATACCATAATTTGTGTTGCCTGTTTACAAGATGAATCACCTGTCTGAAATGGTGAGTAAAAGCAGCTGCAGACTTCAATCAATAGTACTATCAAGCAATTCAACTTTTTCTTGTAATGTCATGATTTTTCTCTGCTTCTCAGGAGCACATACAGCTTCACTAGTGGCACTTCATATAGGTCTCGTGGTGCTATTCAAGGTATATGGTATTGCACTAAACATGATGAAAAATATAAAATAACCATGAGAGATCACTTTGCACTGCAATCAGAAGTTTATCAGAGAGGTGACCTGTTCACGTGGAGTTGATTAGCATCATATGGTATTTTAAGGAGATATACACAACACTTGAGCTCACCACAATAGCAACAGGAGGTGGCTCCAAAATTATTACAGTAGCACAGTATGATCACAGTTAATTTTATGCAACTATGACTTAACACTGCATATTTTTATTTGTTTACATTTCTCTTGACTGCTAATGGCACCATGTATGGCCTGTAAGTGTTTGTGTGCATAAATTTTAATCAATTTTAACTTTTTATAATAGATTTTTATACATTTTATGGTAGTAAATGATAAAATAGTCTCCACATATATTTTATGCATTCATGCCATACCTAACTTTTTCTTAATTGTTTTATATTTCTAGGCTAAGCAGCTCATCAATGAGTTTTTTTTCAAATTGTCACAAATCTCCAAAAAATTTTCCAATATATTTATTGAAAGATATCTACATATAAGGGGACCCACACAATTTAAACCCATGTTGTTCAAAGTTCAACTGTATATGCATATTGTTTTATACAATTGCTGTTAAACTGTACCTAAGAAAAGAAATAAAAAGAAATATTTTATTTATACTTATTTTATATTACACAATTACCTTTACCAGTACTCTTTGTTTTAGGGGGTGCATTTGAATGAAGATCTGGACTCACTTGCTTTCAGTGTGAAAAACTTCCTTTAGTATTTCAGGTAAGGTGGGTTTCCTAGCCACTAATTGTCTCATTTTCTGTTGCTCTGGGAATGTCTTTATTTCATCTTTTTTGCAGAATAAAAGATTCTTAGTTGACAATTTTTTTCTTCCAGCTCTTTGAATATGTCATCCCACTATCTCTGGCTTCCATTGTTTCTGATGAGAAATCATTTATTAATTTTATTGGGGCTTGTGCGTATATGAAGAAATTACTCAATTTGTTTCTCACTCCTTTCAAGATTTTCTCTCTGTCTGTTTTTCAGCATTTTCTATAATGCACCTGATTGTGGACTTCTTTGTGTTTGTCCTACTTGAAGTCAATTAGTGGTTGCCTAGGCCATATACATAAATCTGTCCTTAGATACATCCCACTAAGCAGAAATAGTCAAAATACTGTGCTTTAAAGTCACTTTAAATAATAAATTTATCTGTGTAATTTTGCTACCAAATTGATATGCAGCTAGGTTTGTTTATTTCCATTTTTAATGTTTAGGGATTTCTTTTTATTATTTAATTTTAGCTTTCATTATGTAAACATTTTACATAGTACCGAAGTCAAAAACATAACAAGGTATATTTACAAAATTCTCTTGTCAATCCTGTTTTCTTCTCTTTGGTCCTTGACTCCTCTTCTAAGTAACCATTTTTTATTTAATTTGATTTATCATCCTACTATTTCATATTGAAAATATAAGCATTGGTGTGTATGTATTCATAGTCTTTCTTATACAAAAGTTAGCATATAAAAACACCTCACACAGATATTCTTTATTCCTATTAAAACTAATATTACTCCATTGTGTGAATGTATCATCATTTACTTAATCTGTCCCTATTGAAGAACATTTTGGTAATATTTTATTTGTCACTGTATTAGTTTTCTATTGCTGCATAACAAATTACCATAAATTTAGCAACTTAATACAACACAAATCTAATATCTGAGTTTCTTTAAGTAAGGAGTCCAGAGCAGGATAACTTGGTCCTCTAATCAACATCTCACGAGGCTGAAATCAAGATGTCAGTCAATGCCATGATCTCATCAAAAACTTGAAGTCTTCTTCCAAGTTCACTGGTGGTTGGAAAAATTAAGATTCTTGTAGTTGTCAAGTAAAGTCCCTGTTTTCTTGACAACTATCAATCAGGACTACTCTAAGAGGCCCTCCTCAGGTTCTTACCACAGAACCCCCTCCAGGGGCCATCTCAAAAATGATTTGTATGTACATATGGACCTGCTCTCACCTCCCAAAGAAGTCTTAAAATACCCATGTTAATTTTAATACACTACTCATAACATTGCTTTGGATATTTATTGCTTTCACATAGGCAGCATAGAAGAAAAACTGCTTTTTATAAAAAATCATTTCTCTCAATATTGTAGATGACTGTAATTTCTTTTTTTTTAACTTCCTGGTATATCATCCCTCTATTAACTCCATTCACTGCTCATGCCCACTTCCCAGCATGGGAACCCCAAAACCTGATGATTGTTCCCCAGCACCCCTGGCAGTTTAAGTCATGGGTGACTGAAACAGACCTGGTCAATTAAATGCAGCAGGCTGGCACTGTGAATTTGGACAAAGAAACAGGCAAAGTGGAGAATCCATTACAGTGGTGAAGGCAGCAGCAGCCAAGTCCAGTGTTCAGTGGCATTGGTGGTACTGATTGAAACTGAGATGTCTGAGTCCCTGTAGAGGCATCAGTGTGCTTCCCTGAGGTTGATCTGTGGTACAGTCTTGGCCATGGCTCTGCCTGCCTGGCCTGCCATTCTTCCTGCTGGCTTCTCAAGGCTTGTTCATCAGCCCTCCTGGAAACTCTGGGAGCAATCCTATGTTCTTTCAGTAAAATCCTTTTCTGCTTTAACAACTCTGACTGGTACACTTTCATTTTTTTCTTGCAGAAATTAATGGCAACTTCCTAAAAAAGTTGAAATGAATAAAAATTGTTTATATGAAATGAAAATGAACTTGATGACTGCTCAGAAATAAGAAATCCGAAGTTAATGAGAAAAAGAAGTTAAAATTGTAGTGATCTTTGACATAACACACTTTATTTATATCTCTTGTTTCTAATAAGTGCTTAATCACAAAGATGTGCATTGTTATAACTCTCTAGACAGCTGGAGGCTGCATTACCTCCTTGATCTTTAAGTAAAATCCCTTATACTAGGTAACTTCATAGCCAATGGAAAGCTAAAATTCTACCTCAACGTTTCTGCTAGGTCAGCAGCAACTGGCATCTGCCTGCCTCCTCCACTTCTAAGCTCTGATATCCCTACATTCTGCCCCATCCCAGTCAGCACTGACCCCATCTTAGCCCCTTTCCACATATCAAGCTTTTGTAATAGTAATAGATTTGATTGTATCTTTGGGAGGATTCCCATGGAGAGGTCACATCAAATAATGTGACCATCAACAAAACCTCTACCATTTTGCTGGCTCTTAATTTTTCCCTTTTTACTAAACAAAGCAGTTATGACCAATCTTTGAAGCTTTAGGACCCACTGACACCCTAACACCTTTAGGCAACCTGTTTACCCAATAGTAATTGTTGTACCTTGTTTTTGGTGTTCTTGTGCCACTTCTTTGTACTGACCCTCCCCAGTACACCAGAGGCATCTACATTGCCTTGAAAAGAATTAGAAAGGGAGATATGCGAAAAGAAAAAAACATGATTCAGGGTTTTTGTTTTTTGTTCACCTCTTGATTTCTGTTTTATATGTAAAATAGGTTATTAGGTGTCAAAGCAGGAAAGCCTTAAGGGAAACAGGACATGGAGTTTGATCCATAGAAATTCATTAGAAAAAAAATTGAAGGAGGCACAGAAAATTTACCCTTGAATCTCCATGGTGACTAAATGAAAGTTCCTGGGATAAGGAGGTGGCAGGAAGGGGAGAGTGTTCTGGAGCATCACCTGAGGGGAGGTAGGAAGAAGGGCTGAATTGTGGTGGGGGAGGAAAGGATAGGGAGTGAAAGAACAGAGTCACCATCAAGGAAAGCCAAGCTTCCAAAGCCTCTTCCACAGGGAGCCTGATAGAAGCTGAGCCAATGCCATCACCCACAGCCATTCCAGTAGAAGTCACAGGAAACACAATGACCACACTGAGGAACTATGTCAGTTTTCTTCCCATTGCTGATGGAAGACAACTTGTCATCCATGGATCAGCAGGACATTTATCTGGCACATACCATCCAAAATGTGCTGAATAGACATTGCTTTTTTTTTTTTTTTTTCCGAAAGTCCAGACTTTTCCGAAGTTTTCCAGAAAGAGGGGTCCTTAACACCAGGAAGCAGTTGGAAGTCTTGGAGGGGCAAGTGACCAAATCTCATATTTGAGAGAAACTGAGTAGCGACAAAATCTATCCCAGTTACACATTTATCAGTGTATGACTCTAGACAGAGTTTTCTCTAAAAGAGATTTGGGGGCCAGCTTTTAATATTACAGCATTTTGCCCACAGCAAATGGAATCAGAGCTACTCATCACTCATTTTGCCAGGTTAGAATAATTTTGTGCATAACAACACCAGAATTCCCCAGGACTTTGAACTGAATATGAGTCAAGTCTTCTCTTTTGTCCTCATATCAATGAGGGTATCTTTAGCAAGTCTGAATTACTGGTGTTATTTTTGTTAGCAAGGAAAAAAATTGCAAATCCAGATTCCTATTTTAAGGTTGTTTAAATAAAATAACTTTCAAAAGAACTCTGCCACATTGCCAGGAATCTATATATCACTATCTCCTTGGCTTTCCCATTTCCAGAGTACAAAAGTATATCTTCATCCAGTATCAAAAAGTTCACATACTTGCCCACCTCTAGCAACAGCTTAGTCAAAGAGCTTGTAATTTTTCAGTAGCACCCATTGTCACTGCAGAACCCGGAATCGAAAGATTTACCTTAAGTATGTAACCAAAAATATTTGTTATGTAAGTCAAGCCACAAGCGAGCTATTCTCATGCCAAAATTATTTTAAAAGTAGATTTACTTTCTTTTTCTCTCAAGAAAAGGAAAGTTCCATGTGACATTCAATCACTTATTACCAGATTTGCTCTTGGGAAAGCCAGTAAATGGTGGAATAGAGAAGAACTTTGTATCTTGCTCCCATCTCTTGACAAAACATCTTGAAATGATGCCGTTATAAATTTAACACTTTTCATAGCAGTAAGCAAAGCTTCCTTCAAAAATTTTGAAAAGGCTTTTGATGCCAATGCATGCCCATGTCAACAACAGTGAATCACCCTGACATGTTACCAAGCAGTAAAGCGCAGGGTGGTGCCAAGCATTACAGGGGTCCTGTCTGCACACAAGAAATTGAGATTTTTCTTTCAGGCAAATTTTGCTTGGCTAAGAAACACTGCATCATTTTGAAACTGTTGACAACCTTTACAGTTTCCAAAAGAGGTTCACAAAATGGGACTTCTTGGATAGCATCAGAATGCACACAATAGACAATCAATAGGAGCTGGCTACACTGAAAAACACTGTGGAAGAAACTAGTGTTGACTTTATGATCAGTCATGAAACATTAGGAGAAATGTCAACAGCTACATAGAGAATTGTGTAATTTAGGAAAGACACTACTTCAATTATCTTCCCTGCCCCATGCTACTCCTAGCTTGACTATTCCCAGGGCACACGGTTTCATCAAGATCTCTCGATGTGAGTAGTTTCTTTCTTTCCTGGTGCCCAATTAGCATTCTAACAGGCATCAAGTCAAGGCTTTTATTTAGGGTCAAATATGAGTGTGTATAAAATCCTGGCTGTTTCAAATCAAGTCTTTGTTTCAAGAAAAAGATTCACACTTTCCAATGAGTTTCAGAATGGTCAGACATGAAGTATCTCCTTGGTTTTGTTTGGGATTTGGGATACCATTGACAAGAACTCAGCCACACAGGAATCATGCCAGCTTTTGTGTTGGTGATAAAAGAGAAACCCAATGAAATATACATTTCATCATTTTAACCATGTGAGTATCTCAATTACAAAATATAAGCCTCTTCTCATTCCTGCTAGGCTGATAGAATGAGTTCAGTTTTCTGTTATAAGCAGAAACAGCTTCTCCCACCTCCTCAGGTTTCCAACACAGCTCAGAGCAGGCAGACGTTTCCAGCTCTCCCCATCCATGTTGGGTACTTCCACACATTCCCCCTTACTCTTCTTCCTAGAAGAAGAAGATTATCAATGGATAGGTCATTGGCCTGCATTTTATGAGCCGCTGAGGCTGCTTTTTCTTAAAAGGCTAGCAGCCATGTTCTGGTGTTTCTCTTCTATTCTGTTTTTTAGTCTAATTAGCACGTGTATGTGGCTCTGGTTCTTTGGAGCAAGTTCATAACGTTTTCTGCATTCCAGCAGCTCCTCCCTAGACTGGGAAGATAAGTCTGCTCAAAATCTTCTCTTCAGATCCAGCCATCTTAGTTCTGAAAAAGCCTGTTCAAGCCTCGGGCCTTAGTAGCTCTCCTGTCCTCTAACTTAGCTTACCAGAACAGCCATATTATAGAGGGATATTAGTCAAGGATTCAATCAGGAAAATAGAAAGCTCTCTAATTATTTAAAACAGAAAAGAACCTAATCCAGAGAATTAAGCTACTATACTATTGGAAGGCCTAGAGGAAGACAAGAGGGGAAAGTAATGTCTCTCAGAGACCAGGACCTGCAGGAGGCCACACTGGTCTGCCCTAAGCAGTGGGCAGCCATCACAGAGCACACATGCACTGCTGCTGCTGCCACTACTCCTGCCACTGGCACCTTGCAAGCATTCACAGGTGCATGTCAGCAATGCAGCTGGAACCAGAAGTCTAGGGCCTTCAAGTGACTTCTACCCGCTCCCTCTCATCACACAGGAGTCCATCCCATTAGAAGAACCAAACTGGAAACCAGCTGTCAAGGGGGTCTGGGAAAGGTGGTTCTCAGGAGTTCTGCCCCAGTGGTACAAGACAGGTATAGGCCTGAGTACTCCCAGACAATAACAGGTACATTGGTAATTATAATCATTTAATAAATAGTCATGTTGTTTTCTTTCTAGCTCCCAATCTTTGTGTATTGCCTTCTGCCAGAACTCTACAATAAAGGAGGAATGGAAGTGAAATTTGGGCAACAAACTCTATCTGAACCCTAATATTTTTTCTGCATTTGCCAAAAGCAGGTATAGCAATTTCAATGACTTATCATTCAAATCAGAGTAGTTTATTAATTTTGTAATAAAACCATACATACAGACACAAATTTTATATGAAGCAGTAAAAGAATATCCTATAACCCACACGCAAGAAAGTAATTTTGTGAACCTCTAATAATGGGGTGATTTCTGAGTTTCTGCTGAGTCCCGTGCTAAAGGTAGGCCAGAATGTGTGTTTGAAGAGAATGACAATTGAGAGAAAGGGGTGAAGGTTTGGGGGATGAGTTGGGGGGAAATTGTTTTATTTTCTACTGAAAGGACTGGATGGAGGAGAAAGAGAGAAAGAGTAGAAGAAGTAGGAGAGAGTGGCCAAAACAATTTTAAGAGCAGAGATGCCTAATACTCACTCTTACTTTGTTTGAAATGTTGTGATAATGAGTTTCCTTTTATATCCATACACATTGAGTGGGGTTTTAAAAGAAAACAAAGAGCTGATTTCACACTCAGATTGATGCCAGAGAGGAGGTAAAGAAAAAGTCACAAAGCACAGAATGGAGAACCAGAACTCAAGAAAGAAGAAATCAGACTCAGAGATGCCCCAAGGGTGTGTCCCTAGAGAGTCCACAAAAATCTTGGGAACAGCACTGGACTTTCCCACAGAGTGTGGAATAGAGACTAAGTCAAACCTTTCTAGATCTTAGGGAGAATGATACTTATGTTATACTTTTGTACACTTGACTCATAGGAAATTTGGTACAATAGGAGTTCCATTGCTATGAGCCTCAAGTGTCTGCTATGGTACCATTGGTAGACTGGGCTATCCTGAGCCAGCCCTTTTTTGTCACCATTGCATTATATCCATGGGCCTGGCATCTAGCTACAGATCACAGTAAGGAAAGAGAACACAGAAGCTTGAGCCAATTGTTCCTTTATAAAAGTCAGTTTTGCAGTTTTATATAGATCTAACATTCAAAATGGCCTATGGTCACTTAATAGGAATTCCACGGCTGGTTAGCAGTGGCTAGATTGGGGCATTAAAGTTAGCCTGGTATTTTTTCATTGTCTTCAAATATTATTGTGGCATAGACAGGCATGGGAAGTTAAAGTAAACTAAAATTACAAATGCCATCCAAAGGTGGGGAAAGGGAGATAAAAAGAGTATTACGTCCTGATTTCTTATCTTCTATTGAGATACCTTCCTATTAATTCTTTGCCTGAAATCACAAGCATTTATTAGATTCGAAAGATGTGCTTACTTAAGGGAAGAAAAATAGAGGTAACCTAGGCATTCAGAAGGAATCATCTAAGTTTGTATGTTTGTGCATCTTTGTGGTGAGTGTGTATATATTTAATTTGAAGAGTTTAGGAGTGTTAGGTTTTCCAAGCTACTATATTTATAGTCACATTTTATTTTCTTCAACATTTTCTAATTGTATGTTAGACCCAATATCAACAAACAAACAAAAATATTAATAATCATAATGGCAGAGCACATTTGCTTTAATTCTAATCAATAAATCTTAGATTATATGACATGATAACAATCCATTTTTAGCTCGTAAACAGTTGCAGTACAAGATATTTGAGCTGAAACAAACCACAATAATGTAATTTTATATATTAACATAAAACATTTTTTCATAATACCATTTTCTGAAAAACAGGAAGAAAATTTGAAAAAAAATTTTAAGTCTAAGTATTTGTATACCTGGTTTTTAAACTCCTGATATGTCCCCTAGAAGGTAACTCATTGGCCATGGCTTTAAAACTCCTGGCATAGTGTGTGCTTGGTGACAATGGATTGCTGTCTGTCAAAAAGCAGAAGGCTTGCATAGTGGAGAAAGGTTAAGAAAAGGCTGCAGTCAGATGGAGCTAGCACTAAAGACCCACTCAAGGAAGATGGACTTAATCCTACAAGTCAGCAAGAGCCACCTGCTACAGAGGAGCTTTTTGACAATGCAGTTTCTTGGGCACTACCTCAGATCTAATAAATCAGATCATCAGGGGCAGGGCCTGGGGATCTGTATTTTTCATGGCCCTCCAGGTGATTCTTACTCATGCTAGTATTTGAGAACAACTTCTTTAGGTGGCGATGGACTTTTGCAGGCATGGGGCTTTTATTTGCTATTTTTTTATTTGTTTAAAGCAGAGGGGTATAATAAAAACACAAATTTTAGTGTTTAGTGGTAGGCTGGGCACAAGGAGTCCTAGTAGGGCATTACTTTAATTGCCTAAGTAATGTGATGAGAATCTGAATGGTAAGGGAAACTGTAAAAACGGTTTGGATTTACTGTAAAAATGTAAAAATGGAATGGATGTGGCTTAATTAACAGCTATTAAAAATATTTTAAAATATATAATATATATAATAAATAGGCAAGAAGATTTAGTAAATTATTGGCTATGGAGAGAGAAAGAAATCAAAGTTAGACAATGACTTTCAGCCTTAATCAATTGATCAACAATGGTACCATTAAAAGAAACAATTAAGATTCATTGCATTAGAGATCAGAGTAAAACAGTATTCACTTGGCAATTATAAATATTCATTGAAACTTCAGAGAGGTTAAAATAAAATTATATATTCTAGATACTAGGCCCTTAGCAAATATATAATATGCAAATATTTTTCCCATTGTGGGTTGTATCTTATTTTTAAATTTTATTAATTTTTTTTTATTTTTTAGAGATGCGTCTTGCTATTTTGTCCAGGGTGGTGTCTCAAACCCCTGGGCCTCAAGCAATCCTGCCACCTAGGCCTCCCAAAGTGCTGGGATTATAGGTATCAGTCACAGCACCCAGCCTCATCTTTCTTGTGGGTTGTTTTTTCTTTCAACTTTTATTTTAGATTCAGCGGGTACATGTGGAGGTTTATGTGGATAAATTGTGTGTTGCTGAGATTTGGTGTACAAATGATCACATCACCCACATAGTGAGCATAGTCTCTGAAGGGTAGTTTTTCAATCCTGGCTTCCCCTACATCCTACCCCCTTGAGTAGTGCCCTGTTTCCATCTTTAAGTCCATGTGTACTCATGTGTACTCAATGTTTATCTCCCACTTATAAGTGAGAACATGCGGTGTTTGGTTCTCTGTTATAGGATAAATTCATTTAGGATAATGGTCTGCAGCTGCATCCATGTTACTGCAAAACACATGATTTTGTTCTATGTAATGGTTGCATAGTATTCCATCATGCATATGTACCACATTTTCTTTATCCAGTCCACCACTGATGAGCATCTAGGTTGATATTTGCTATTGTGAATAGTGCTTCAATGAACATACAAGTGCATGTGTCCTTTTGGTAGAACAATTTATACACCCAATAATGGGATTGTTGGGTCAAACGGTAGTTCTGTTTTCAGTTCTTTGAGAAATCTCCAAACTGCTTTCCACAGTGGCTGAACTATTTTACATTTCCACCAACAATGTATAAGCATTCTCTTTTCTCCCCATCCTTGCCAGCACCTGTTTTTTTTTTTGTTGCTGTCGTTTTTAATAATAGCCATTCTGACTGGTGTGAGGTGGTATCTCATTACAGTTTTGATTTGCATTTATCTAATGATTAGTGGTGTTGAGAATTTTTTTATGTACTTGTTGGCCACTTGTACGTCTTCTTTTGAGAGGTGTCTGTTCATGTCCTTTGCCTATTTTTAAGTGGTTTATTTGTTTTAGCTTGATGGACTGTTTCAGTTCTTTATAGATTCTATAGACTATAGAATCTATAAAGATTAGACTTCTGTTGGATGCATAGTTTGTGGACATTTTCTTCCATTTTGTGGGTTTTCTGTTTACTCTGTTGATAGTTTCTTTTGCTGTGTAGAAGCTCCTTGGTTTAATTGGTCCCACTTGTCAATTTTTGTTTTTGTTACAAGGACTTAGTCATAAATTTTTTCCCAAGGCTGATGTCCACAATGGTGTTTAGTAGGTTTTCTTCTAGGACTTTTGTAGTTTAAGGCCTTACATTTAAATCTTTGGTCTATCTTGAGTTACTTTTTGTATATGTTGCAAAACCAGAGTCTAGTTTCATTTTGTGTATGGCTAATCAGCTATTTCAGCACCATTTATTGAATAGGGAGTCCTTTTCCCATTGCTTACTTTTTTTCTTTTTTTATACTACCTTTAAGGGGTAGCAGCCGCAGGGAAAAAGGGGGCGAGCGCCCACACACACCTGCACATGCATGTGTGTTGTTTTTGTTGATTTTGTCAACAAAACATTGTTGATTTTGCTTATTTTTGTTGATTTTGTCAAATATTAGATGGCTGTAGGTGTGTGACTTTATTTCTGGATAAATCCTGTTCCATTGGTCTATGTGTCTGTTTTTGCACCAGTTCCATGCTATTTTGGTTACTGTAGTCTTATAGTATAGTTTGAAGTCAAGTAAGGTGATGCTTCTGCTTAGGATTACTTTGGCTACTCAGGTTCTTCTTTCATTCCATATGAATTTGAACTTTAGTTTTTTCTAAATTTGTAAAAAATGACTTTGGTAGTTTGATAGGATAGCATTGAATCTGTAGATTGTTTGGGGCAGTATAGCCATTTTAACAACATTGACTCTTTTGATCCATGAGCATGGGATGTTCTTCCATTTGTTTGTATCATCTATGATTTCTTTCAGCTGTGTTTTACAGTTCTGCTTGTACATATCTTTCACTTCTTAGGTTAGATATATTCTTAGGTATTTTATTTTGTGTGTGTGGCTTTTGTAAATGAGATTGCATTATTTATTTGGCTGTTGGCTTGACTATTATTGGTGTAAGGAATGATACTGATTTTTGTTCAATGATTTTGTATCTTAAAACTTTGCTGAAGTTGTTTATCAGCTCTAGGAATCTTTTGGTGAAGTCTTTAGGGTTTTCTAGATATAGAATCATATCATCAACAAAGAGAGATAATTTAACTTCTTTTCCTATTTGGATGCTTTTTCTTTTTTTCCTCTTGTCTGATTGCTCTGGCTAAGATTTCTAGCACTATATTGAATAGGGGTGGTGAGAGTGGGCATCTTTGTCTTGTTCCAGTTCATAAGGGGAATGCTTCTAGCTATTGCCCATTCAGTATAATGTTAGCTGTGAGTTTGTCATAGATGACTCTTATTATTTTAAGGTATGTTCCTTTGATGCCTAGTTTCTTGAGGGTTTTCATCATGAAGGGATGTTGGATTTTATCAAAAGCTTTTTCTGCATCTATTGTTTTTAATTATGTTTATGTGGTATCACATTTATTGATTTATGTATGTTGAACCATCCCTGCATCCCAGGAATAAAGTCTACTTGATCATGGTGAATTAACTTTTTGATGTGCTTCTGGATTCAGTTTGCTAGTATTTTGTTGAGAATGTTTGCATCTATATTCATCAAGGATATTGGCCAGCAGTTTTCTTGCTTTTTTCTTCTGTGTGTGTGTGTGTGTGTGTGTGTGTGTGTGTGTGTGTGTGTGTGTTTGCCAGATTTTGATATCAGAATTATGCTGGCATCATAGAATTAGTTAGGGAGGGGTCCCTTCTCAATTTTTTGTAATAGATTCAGTAGCATTGGTACATGCTCTTCTTTTTACATTTGGTATAATTTGGCTGTGAATCAATCTGGTCCAGGGCTCTTTTTGGTTAGTAGGTTTTTTGTTACTGATTCAATTTTAGAACTCAATATTAGTCTGTTCAGGGTTTTTATTTCTTCCTGACTCAGTCTTGGAAGGTTGTGTGTTTCCAGGAATGTATCCATTCTTTCCACTAGATTTTCTAGTGTTTGTGCATATAGGTGTTCATATAGTCTCTGAGGATCTTTTGTATTTCTGTGGGATTAGTTGTAAGTCACATTTGCCACTTCTGTTTGCATTTATTTGGTTCTTCTCTCTTTTCTCCTTGTTCATCTAGTTAGCAGTCTATAGATCTTGTTTATCCTTTCAAAGAACCAGCTTTTTGTTTCATTGATCCTTTGTATGGATTTGGGGTCTCAATTTCATTCAGTTCTGCTCTAATTTCAGTTATTTCTTTTCTTCCTTTAGCTTTGGGTTTTGTTTGTTCTTGTTTTTCTAGTTCCTCTAAATGCAATATTAGATTGCTAATTAGATATCTTTCCAACTTCTTGATGTAAGCATTTGGTGCTATAAACTTTCCTCTTAACACTGCTTTAGCTGCATCCCAGAGATTCTGGTATGTTGTGCCTCTGTTTTCATTTATTTCAAAGAAATTTTTAATGTCTGACTAATTTCATTATTTACCCAAAAGTCATTCAGGAGCAAGTTGTTTAATTTCCAGGTAATTGTGTGGTTTTGAGAGCTCTTCTTGGTATTGATCCTCACTTTCTTAATAGTATCTTTTAAAGACAATGCTTTTCATTTTGCTGAAGTCTAATTTGTTTTTCAGTTGCTTGTATTTAGGTATCTAAAAAATCCATGGCTTAATCCAAGGTCACAAAGATTTACATATAGGTTTTCTTTTAAGAGACTTATAGTTTTAGCACTTCCATTTTGGTTTATGATCCATTTGGAGTTCATTTTTCTATATACTATAAGGTAGGGATCCAATTTTCTTCTTATAGAAAAAACAATTAAATTATGGATATGAGAAACATCCACAGGAAATTGATAGTCACAGCAATGAGAATGAGTGAGTTCTTCGAAGGAACAAGTGTAATGAAGACAAATGAACTGAGTCTTGAGAGTCACACATATTAATATGGAAGTGGAAGAAGAGACATTAGGGAAGAAGTCAGAAGAGAAATGTCTTTAAAGACAAAATGTCACATTTTAAGGAAAAATATTACCCACAATTGGTGAAAATGAGATTACCCTATGCTGTCTACCTGCTCCTCAGTTGTTCTTTGCTAATTTTGAAAGGATATAGCCCCACCTGAAAGGAATCCAGGGGTTCAGAGAGGAATATAAGCTGGAAGTACTACTCCCAGAAGGCCAATAATTCCTCAAGACTAATACCATGCTCTATAAAAGAGAAAGCTGCATTTCATCCATTTCTTAATTTGTAGTGTGTATTTTTTCCCTAGTAGGGTTTTAAACTTTTAATTTCCTACTACTCTTCCAGCCTCAGGCTCTATCCTCTGACATTTCAAGCCAGGACGCATCTCATAGAAATAAACTCATGTTCACAATGCAGCTCTGTCTTTGAAGGGTCTGTTCCTCTGGGGTCTCTGTCTGCTTTTTCACTGGGTCCCTGAGGTCTCTGTGCGTACAGACTTTAATGATGAGAAGAGGTGTGGGCAGCGTGTATGCTCAGATTTCTGAGTCTCATCCTTTCTACAGTTCATTCTCTGCCAGAGTCTCCCTCTTAAATTTCCAACAGGTTTTTAAGCCATGAACACTGTTTAGCCTGGTAAAGCTACATTTTCTCCTACCTGCAGGGATTAGGGAGCACTATCAGGTAACAGGCCACAAACTTGCAATTCTTACCACTTTCAGTTGCAGTTTCTCAGGAGTAAACTTACCTTATTTCTGTTTGTTTTTGGATACTTTCCCATTCCTCTACATAGTTGGTGTTTTTTTTTAATATTTTGTTCAGATTTTATCAGTGTTATCTGTGGGAAGTTTCATATGATCACTTCACTCTGCTATAATTATGTCTTTCTCTCAGTTTGGGAGTAGGATGTTTGGGGCTCTTTGTGGGCACATGTGAAGAAATGGATAGTGGATAAATAAAAATATCTCTTCCCTAAAGAGCTGCAGAAGGAAACATTGTCAACACAGGAAACCTTTCTTGAATTAATATTAAATGCTTCTTTTTATATACAGTGGCCAGATTATTATTCTGACACTCTCCTTTTTCTCTATTTTACCAAAAATCGATCATACTAGCTGGGTGCTTGTCAGAACTCACTAGAAGTGAGGGAAAGGGAATCTTTGGGATAAATGCCCTCCTGCCAAACAAGGATACAGGCAAATAAATAAATAAATAAATAAAACAAAGCTACACATAGAAAAAATAACAATAATCACAGCATAGGTTTTCCTTGAAATTAAGTCTCAAGAGCTGAAAAGCATCTAAGACATAGTTTTATGGATGCTGGCAAAAAAAAAAAAAAACTCAGGAGTCAGAGAAGAAGGACTTTATTACTCAAGGCACAGCAGATAGCATGAGCCTCGTGTTCACCTCAGTTCCCTTTCCCATCTCTGAATGCACACAAGTTCTACAGGGATATGTCCAGTGGCCAGCACAGATGTTACTCACACTATGCTTTTGTATCCCAACTGATGACCCCTGATCTTAGGAAGCCCTCAATCTTACAAAAAGGCTGCTAGCAAACTTGCCCAACCTTTGTTCCAGAACAAGACAATATCCTTTTATTCCAGACAGCAAACAAATCTGTCCTTGTCAGAGATAGACACTATCGCATCTTCCAAAACTATTTACCATACAAACATCCTTGGAAAAATAATTGAGAACAAAAACTGATACAAAACATGCAGAAACACAAGAAACCCATGAAGAATTGTTTCCCAACAAAGTCGTCCACTAAATTTTTGAACCAGAAGTAGGGAAAGTATCAGGAAACCAGTACCTGTAGCCAAAGAAAGGCTTTTTTCCACCTGCGAAACTTGCTGTGGTGCTAAATGTGTGGTTCCCCTCCCATGCAGCCAAACCAAGAGATCAATACTAATAATAATCACTGGGGTAGCAGACATGAAAACAGACTACCTTCTCTTTCAGTGCAATTACCACACAGTGCACCAACTTTAAAAAAATTATTAGCAAATAATTAAGAAGGAAGAGCAATTTTTAAAACGTTTGAACATAAATGAGATTTCTTTTGTTTATTAACTCATTCAGAAAGGAACTACAACCTGTCAGAATGACTTTAGAATCTCTCTAACAATTTTGTATTAAGGGTTTGGTTTCTTGAAACCACTGAGACAAAGGTTTCAGAACCTTTTTGAGAATTTGCTGCTAACATTTATAAGGCAAATATATAAATATATCACATTTATATTTGATCATCAGTTACCAAAAAAAAAAATTTAGCACTTTCCAATTGCCAAACACTGCGCCAGGTACTAAGACAAAAGGTAACTAAGATAGACAAAATCCTTGCCCTCATGAAAATTATATTTCAGTGGGATAAGCCAACAGGAAGCAAGAAAAGGAATACATAAATGAAATAATTACAGGTTTTGAGATATTCTGGAAAGGAGATAAACAGGGACTTCAACAGAGGCAAAGGTTTAAGCAGATAAACAGGTCAAGATTCACTCTCTGAAGTTACAACATTAGAATCCTCATAATGGGTAAAAAGGAACCAGTTCTGCAAAAAGCTGAAGTAGGAGTGTTCCCAGCAGAGCAAATGGCCTGAGCAAGACTTCAGGTCAGGAAAGTTCTAGGAATTGACAGAAAGCCTACATGACTGCAGCCTGGTGTGTGAGAAGAGACTGATGTTACATTCAAGTCAAAATGCACTTGACACCATTTCCTTTAAAGAATCATTTGTTTCCATTTAGAAAATATTAACAGATATTGATCATGAGTAGCAGACGAAATTTCGATATATCTAAAATTTCTAGGAAAACTATGGTTGTGCATGCTCATAGCTTCTCTTCTGCATGGCCTCTTTCCTCTTCCTCCCTTACTGAAGCAACTCAGGAGTTTGTACCACCTTCTCCCCCTCTATATTTTACCAGGACTGCCAGAAAGTCTGTGTTAGTGTCATCTGGCAGAGTCCGTTGAGGCTACTCCTCCAGCACCATGGGAGGGTCTGACACTGCCTGCTTTGGCTTTGGGGAGAACTCTTTCTGTCTTTTGTTACTATCCCCATCCGCCGGCACAACCCCCTGAGAGACTGAAGTTGTCTCTGCCCTGGAGGCTGGGAGGAGTTGGAATAGAAAAGGCTCCCTTTCCCTTTGCCACTCTGTGGTGACCCAAGACTAGCTCAACAGGCAGTGCAGGCATGTTCAGGCACTTTTCAGAAAGGAATCGCAACATGCAAGGGAAAATGTTACCCACTACCCGGCGTAGATAACATCTTCAAGCCTCTTTATTCCAGATATATTCCTTCCCACAGGAAGAATTCTCACCCTAGAAATTCTTTTCCCATCTCCTCTTACAATGTTCCAAGTCAGGGTTGCAGGGTCTTGAGTATCTTCTACCTCAACCCAGGACATGGTGATGTACCTCACCTCCCAAGATCTCAGCAGAGCATCAGTTTCAACCCACAAGTAATGGAGTATCAAGCTTCTAATTCAAAATATCCTTGTAACAGTCTCACTAATGAGAGTTCCTTTAGTAGTTGACCTATAAAATAGCAAGCCCACTAATCTTCTGGCAAGACTGCATAAGGTGCATAAGATGCCCCAAGACTTTGCTCAGTCCATATCTACATAACCCCTAGTGCTGCCTCATCTTCAGCATCCCTGGACACTCATTTACCCTATTAAAAAATGTAGGCTTTGGACTGACAACGACAAGTTGGAACTGTGGTGAAACAACCTCATTACAATGTTCCAAAAGGCCACAGATTGAAAAAAGAAAAGGCATGCTTAATAAAACCCTGTCAACATCTCTTCTGCGTACATGATTTATTTATATTCAAAAGAGAAGGTAGCACATGCCCGTGGTGGGAAATACCACGTGACTTAGCATTCTGTCTTTTTGGAGAAACCACTTACAATTCTAGAAAAAGTATTTCCTAAATATACGCCACTCAATACATTTGTAGAATAAATTTGGAAATAAACACAATAATGTGATAACCCTAAGCAACACAAAACAAAAACGGAATGACGGATACTTCTTTGATAACTCTGTCTTGCTTTCTAACCTGCAGAGGCTGAAACCTCTCGTTAAAAAGATGTTAGATATAACTATTTTGGCCTAGAAGGGTTTTTTGAGTTAGTTTACCAAAAATCTGTGTTCATATGGACTGAATGCTTGTGTTCCCCCAAAATTCATGTGTTGAAACTTGGGCCCACAGTGTAATGGTATTTAGAAGTGGGGCCGGCCAGGCGTGGTGGATCACGTCTGTAATCCCAGCACTTTGGGAGGCTGAGGTGGATGGATCGCCTGAGGTCAGGAGTTCAAGACCACCATGGCCAACATGGCGAAACCCCGTCCCTACTAAAAATACAAAAATTAGCTGGTCATGGTGGTGGGCGCCTGTAATCCCAGCTACTCGGTAGGCTGAGGTAGGAGAAATGCTTGAACCTGGGAGGCAGAGGTTGCAGTGAGCCGAGATCACACCACTGCACTCCAGCCTGGGCAACAGAGCAAGACTCTGCCTCACAAAAAAAAAAAAGTGGGACCATTGGGAGGTAACTAGGTTTAGATGAGGTCATGAGAGTGTAGCTCCCATGAAGGAATTAGTGTGCTTATAAGAAGAGGAAAAACTAGAGTGCTCTCTCCCCAAACTACCCCCACCACCTCCAACCCCACCACCAGCAATGTGAGGACACAGCAAAAAAGCAGCCATCTGCCAACTAGAAAGTGGGCCTTCACAGACACTGAGTCTGCCAGCACCGTGGTCTTGGACTTCCTAACCTGCAGAACTGGGCGAAATAAATGTTTGATTTTAAGACGCCCAGTCTGTAATATTTTCTTATGGCAGCCTGAACTGACTAAATCAAGGTTCAAGGCTGCTGAGCCTAGCTTTCATCATCAGAAACAGGGCATTTAAAAACAGCCCATAGAGTTGATTTAATAATTTTTAACCCAGTTGTTATTTGTATTGAAAAATTTAATAAAAGTAAACTGCTTTAGATAAAAAAAAAAAACTGGGAAATGATTTAGGCAGTGAATGACAACTAGCTAAAAAAGAAAAGGATCTTAATGCTAGTTTTCTCCTGGTGTCTTTGTGTTTGTTTTTAGGCACAGTAGGGTTTGCTGGTATCTCTAAAACACAAGCAAATTGATTGACCAAGGCAATGCCTTTTGTGGACTCAATCAGCTGAATCATTAGAATATAGATTTCTTCTGTTCTAGGTCATGTTTCTGTAAAATGGCACCCAGTCTGTGATGGCAAATTGTTTTAAAAGGATTGGTTCTTGGGGACCAATAATGCAATAATTCTGCTTTTGAAGATTAATACTGTTTTCCACTCCATCTATCTCACTGTGGAAAATGGTGGCGGGGGGGATGTTACACAGGCTGGGAACACTGGTAAAACCTGGCCATCTGTGCCTGGATCGGTTTCAGAGCTCTTTCATACAAAGAGTCTGGATGAACAGAGGAGGTTTGTTTAAAATGCTTTGTCATGCTGTAAGACCAATAACTATTTGGGCAGTGCTGTAGATAGGAACGGGGTTATAGGTCTCTAGGCAGCTCATCCGAGAACTTACATGAGTAAATTGGAAATCACACACCTGAAAGAAACAGGGCAATAAATGTTATTGTAAAAGTGATTTAAAGAAACTCTCTATTCCCCAATGAGAAGACTTTTAATGGCTTCTTATAGTTATTCACATATGCTGTTGTATAACAAAAATAAAGAAAAAAAATGCTCCTTTGGGAGGCCTAGGCGGGTGGATCACCTGAGGTCAGGAGTTCGAGCCCAGCCTGGCCAACATGGTGAGACCCTCTCTCTACTAAACATACAAAAAATTAGCCGGGCATGGTGGCACGCGCCTATAGTCCCAGCTACTCGGGAGGCTAAGACAAGAGAATTGCTGGAACCCAGGAGGCGGAGGTTGCAATAAGCCGAGATCCCGCCACTGCACTCCAACCTGGGAGACAGAGTAAGACTCTGTCTCAAAAAAAAAAAAAAAAAAGTGCTCAGAGGTTATGCATGTCTTTAGAGCAAAAATACAAATCTCTCAAATTACATGAGAGAAGATTGTGAGAGAATATACCATTCTTACGGGGTGTTAGATACAACAATTTTGCTAGACTTTATTTAGATGTGACAAAATTTTAAATGAAACATCTATATGTCTTATTTTTTTGTCTTACTAACTTCCCATGAATAAGGGGAAAGAGCCAATATATTACAAAATTTAATTGGAATGCATAAGAGAAGATAAAAGCAAATAAGATTTCATTTGATATTTAAAATAACAAGGTTTTGCATTTAAATAAAAATCTACCTTAAAACACAGCATATGGACCCTTTTCACAACATGGCGCCGAAAGCGAAGAAGGAAGCTCCTGCCCCTCCTAAAGCTGAAGCCAAAGCGAAGGCTTTAAAGGCCAAGAAGGCAGTGTTGAAAGGTGTCCACAGCCACAAAAAGAAGAAGATCCGCACGTCACCCACCTTCCGGCGGCCGAAGACACTGCGACTCCGGAGACAGCCCAAATATCCTCGGAAGAGCGCTCCCAGGAGAAACAAGCTTGACCACTATGCTATCATCAAGTTTCCGCTGACCACTGAGTCTGCCATGAAGAAGATAGAAGACAACAACACACTTGTGTTCATTGTGGATGTTAAAGCCAACAAGCACCAGATTAAACAGGCTGTGAAGAAGCTCTATGACATTGATGTGGCCAAGGTCAACATCCTGATTCGGCCTGATGGAGAGAAGAAGGCATATGTTCGACTGGCTCCTGATTACGATGCTTTGGATGTTGCCAACAAAATTGGGATCATCTAAACTGAGTCCAGCTGCCTAATTCTGAATATATATATATATATATCTTTTCACCATAAAAAAAAAAACACAGCATATGTTCAAGTTAGAAGAAAAACAAGTTTTCTCTTACTTTGTAGAGAGGACAGATGTGCCCAGAACTATTTATTCCAAAAACTTTCACTAAGTATCATAACTTACATATCATTTTCTTATGGCCAAATGTTATATATTGAGTGGATTAAGTTATAAATTTTAGCATTATGGAACAATCTATGGGAAGCTATAGAGTTTAAAATTGCTATTTAAAAAAACCACAAAACTTAGTAGAAATTCCAAATAACTCGAAGACTCTGTTCAACAAGTGAATGAAAAAGAAAATAATATTTCCTACCCAGGAAAATCTACTTGACTTGATAAATTGACTTCAGGTTACAAAATCACCAGATGTCACTAAGGCTATCCTACAGTAAAACTTTCCTTCCATTCTTAAAATGATAAAAAATAGGCTAAAGGATTTTTGCCATGTTCTTCAGAGTCTCATCGCAACACATCAATTTCATTAGGAGAACTATCATTTACTACAAGCACAGACTACCAATGTCCACTACACACACACACACACGCACACACACAATCAGCCCCTTTTTTCAGGTTCTAAAGACTGCACCACCATTCAACCTGTCCCCAATGCCAGCTTTGCCACTCTGCATTTTATCTAAAATGGATAAATTCAGTCTGGGAATGGTGGCTCATGCCTGTAATCCTAGCACTGTGGAAGGCTGAGGTGGAAGGATCATTTGAGCCCAGGAGTTTGAGGCTGCAGTGAGCTATAACTGCACTGCTGGGCTCCAGCCTGGGCAACAGAGTGAGAGCCTATCTCTAAAAACAATTCAAATCCTGCATACTCAAAAGAAAGGTTGGAGAAACATCTCGAAATTACAGTTGATGAATTTATAGTTTAGCAATTCTTAATTTGACAGTGCCGATCAAACTTGGGCCCAAATCTTGAGCTCATTACTTAACACCTGTGCAGCCCTGGGATTTTTTTTTTTTTTTTTTTTTTTTTTTTTTTTTTTCCCCTTATTTCTCTGAGTCTCAGTGTCTTCACCTGTAACATGGAGAGAATTGTATCAACCTTGTGCATTATCTGTAAGAAAGAAAGATAATCCAGTTAAAGCACCAAGCACCAGGGCTGGCACCTGTAGTCAGTGCTCAATCAATCACACCTGTTAGGGTTCTTGACGATTTGGGAACCGGAGTTTCTCGATTTTGCTATTCACACACAGAATGCTCTTTTACCATTAAAAAAGATTTTAAAGTTGTAAAAGAAGGAGATAATTTGGCCACCCTGTCATGGTCTGCCTTCTCTTTTCCAATTTTATTCTGCTTCTTGATTCTAATTGGACTAGAATATGTAGTTGTTTGCTAGGGCAGCTGCAACAAACTACCACAAATGAAGCAGCTTCACCAACAGAAACTTATTGTCTCACCGTTTTGGATCCCAGAAGCCAGAGATCCAGTGTTAGCAGGGGTCCTTTCTTCTGATTGCTGCAAGGAAGAATCTGTGTCATTACCCTCTCCTAGCATGTGGTAGTTTGCTGCCAATCTTCAGCATTCCTTGTCTGGTAGAACCATCACTCTGGTCTCTGCCTTCATCTTCACATGGAGTTCTCCCTGTGTATGTGGCTGTGTAAATATTTTCCCTTTCTACAAGGACATGCTCATATTGGATTATAGCCCACCTTACTCCAGTGTGACCTCATCTTTACTTACATCTGTAATGACCTTATTTCCAAATCAGGTCACATTCTAAAGTACTGGGGATTAGGACTTTAACATATGAGAATACATTTCAATGCATAACAAAATGCTATAAGACTCTCATTATTTCCATGAACTTTCTGGACTGTAAACTCTAAAGGAAACAAGCAGGACCTAATTACAACTCTGGTTGTCAGCCTCTTTACCTTGCCAGCAGTCTGCACTGGAGCATGAATACGTAGCATTAAGTGTATAGGGAAAAGAATCTGATCTTCCTACCGAACAGCAAATCTTGTTCTAGAATTTTATCTGATTGTTTTTAAAGTAGAAACACCACAATTAATGTCTTGCACTGTTTACTTTCATCTATTGCAAATAACAGTTCAACTAAAAACCACTTCACTGACAAGACGGGAACTGAGAAACCCTATCAAAGGAAATGAAAAACATGGCACAGCTTGATCAAAAACCTAAGGATGAGCTTCAGCTGAATACATGAATAGCTGATGTTGCTCAAAACATGGGAGCCAGCTCTGAGGCTTGGAACAATTTTTATTACGAAAAAATTTTCTTTGGGTAGATTTTTTTTTATTTGGTTTCCTTTTTCTGTTGTTTGAAGAATGATCCATATGCAGATTTTTTTTTTTTTAAGGCAGAAGGCTGGATGCACAAAAGGTTTGCAGTGAAAAGAAAGTACACCTCTCTCTGTGCCTCCCAGTAATCCAATTCCACTCCCTGGAGGCGATGCCTACCTACCGCCAATTCCTTTAGTCTCTGCATTTAAAAACACAGATAGATTCACACAAAAGACAGCAAGTGGACTACCCTGCGCCTGGCTTTTTTCTCTTTACCTTGTATCTTGAAGGTTCTGCCAGATCATTAGCTGTTTCACTTACCATAACAGCTGCACTCACTGTGTTCCAGAGTCATGAGTCTTCTCGGGTAGGAATTTTTTGTTTGTTTTGTTTGTTTTGTTTTTTGTTTTTTGTTTTTGTTTTGAGACACAGTCTCACCCAGCCACCCAGGCTGGAGTGCAGTAGCATGGTCTTGGCTCACTGCAACCTCCGCCTCCTGGCTTCAAGCAATTCTCATTCCTCGCCTCCCAAATAGATGGGATTACAGGCGCCTGCCACCAAGCTGGGCTAATTTTTGTATTTTTAGTAGAGACAGGGTCTCACCATGTTGGCCAGGCTGGTCTCAAACTCTTGACCTCAAGTGATCCATTGTGTAGGAATTTTATGTATAAAGGAGCAGTGTTCTCACAGTCCTATAATGTGCCACCTCCCTGCCCCAGCTCCATACTGCTTCACCACTGCCAAGGAACTGGAAGGCAGGGCTTATGCCTACAATACAATGTCAAATGGAATGACAGACAGACTTGTACTGGAGAAGTTCTGTTTGGTCACCTGTAGTTTAAAAAGAAAAAAAAAAAAAGCCAGTTCAGGAATCATTGCTCCTCTACCAAGCTTCCCTCCCTTCCCTTCCCCTCCCCTCCCCTCCCCTCCCCTCTCCTCCTCTCCCCTTCCCTCCCCTCACCTCCTCTTCTTCTTTTTTTCTTTTTTTTTTTCTTTTTGAGATGGAGTTTTCCTGTTGTTGCCCAGGCTGGAGTGCAGTGGCATGATCTGGGCTCACTGCAGCCTCTGCCTCCAGAGTTCAAGCAATTCTCCTGCCTCAGCCTCCCTAGTAGCTGGGATTACAGGTGTCCACCACCATGCCCAGCTAATTTTTTGTATTTTTAGTAGTGACGAGGGTTTCACCATGTTGGCCAGGCTGGTCTCGAACTCCTGACCTCAGGTGATCCACCGACTCGGCATCCCAAAGTGCTGAGATTACAGGCATGAGCCACCACATCCGGCCCAAGCCTTTCTTACTTCCTTTGCTCCTTTCACTCCTAAAAGGTGAAGGAAGTGTAAACTTTTTTCTAAAAATAACAAAAAAAATTGTAAGAGTTTATTTGTATATTTAAAGTGGCCTAGTTACCTTTGCTAATGCTCTAATTTTTTAAATTATTTCATTTTAATTTATTCTATTTTATTTCACTCTGTCTTGCTCTAGAAAAGACTCACAAAGGCTCTAGTGTCTTGTAAAAGTCCAGAATAGCACAGATTTTTCTATTTGCTTGGAAATTTACAGATTTTTTAAACTGCTTTTAAATATTAAGAAGGTCTTTCTGCAGAGAGTAACAATGTGGAGTATTACGTAATTATTGTTCCAGTCCTCTAAAATGCTTTTTCAAATTGTACCTATTCAGTTCAGTTGATTAATTAAAAGTTAACAATCTCCTGTGTCAAATCTTCTAATAGATAGAAAATTAATCATTCCTTTTTATATTATATTTATCATGCTTTTTATTACAAAAGTAATATATTCATTGTAAATTTATCTAAAAATAAAGACAAGCACATTGCATTTAGTTACCCAAACTGGCATTGGGATTTTTCATGGATACTCCCAAATATTTTCTCATGCACGTCATATGTTTATGTTTCAATAAACTCAGGATCATATCACATGTACTAAATGGCAAACTGCTTTTTCTACCTCATCATGTATAAAGAACATTTCGGCATCATTAATTCTACAGCACGATTGTTAATAACTACATTGACTCTATCATAGAACTGGAGTGTGATTTATTTCAAATGTCCCACTGTTGAATATTTAGGTGGTTTATAGTGATTAAGCATTCAAAACAATATTGGAATACACATACGCATAACTTTCTTGCACATTTTGCCAAATTATTCTCCCAAATAATTTAAACATTTGTTCTTAACATTTGAGAGAATGAATCCCTTTGAGAATCTGATGGATTTTGCATCTCTTCTCAGGAAAGGGCAAATATGTTCAAATTTTTATGCATCTTCGGAGCCTTCCGACCAAAACAACCCCAGATTGAGAACGCAGTAGCATTTTATGTCCCTACAAACCATATGAACGCCCTTTTGCTCACACTATCCCTTTGTTTTCAAACTTTCTGCTGATTTGAGAGATGAAACAGTACATCAGTCTTTTCTTACTTTGTATTTTTGTATTGCTAATGAAATTTGAACACTTTTTCCAGAAGTTGATTGATCATGTATTTTTTGTACATTGCTTATTCAAGCCTTCTATCTAATATAATTCAGGTTTTAAATATTAAATTAAAAAATTTAACACAACACTGTAAGATCACATAATAGAGTGGAAACTTTCAATTCCTGGGCTTTCTCTGGGCTAAAGGCATGGTCTTTAATAAATGATCCAATCTGTCATGTCTCAATATTTCCACCAGAGGGCAATATTAGCCCATCTATTATTTCTCTGGCTTCTACAGCTCTCAAGATTTCAATTTACTTTTACTAGAAGAATCTTCCTGAAAAATACTTGCAATGATGATAAAGTTAAATACTTCATTATGCATGTAACACATTATTATATAAAAGTTACGTTGTTATAAATTTTCTATTTAATTTGTTTCAACACATGAAAATGTACAAATGGAATTTCAATAATTATAATCATTACTTCAAATGAAAACTATGCCTCTATTAGCATTCTTTATTATATCCATTTACTTAAATTATCATTATTTCTAGAATGATGTTCGCAGTATGATTTATAATAGAATCTTCATAAACCATTAGCATAAACAGGAAAAGCAATTGACTCCTGAAAAGCCATTCTTTAAAGACAACCAGATTAATTCCTGACTCTAATTATTTTGCGCCTTTGGCTTACCACATAACAAGATAAAACCTAATTTCTTCTTCCCATTCAATAAAGATATGCAGGGTATCCTTCTGAGTGCTAAGGATATTGTTGTGAAGAAAACAAAAATCCTTGACCTCAGGAAGTTTACTTGTTACAGGATTGGGACATGAAGGAGAGACAAATCCACGCATCCTATATACACATTGGAGTGTGGCAGGCTTGGGAGTGTTAGGAGGGAATAAAGCCCGGAAAAGGGATATAGCACACTGAGATACATGCGGAGACCATTTTAAGTGGAGTGGCCAAGGAGGCTTCACATGTGGATGACATCTAAGCAGACAGCTTAGGGAGATGAGAGTCACTTCAATCTGAAGAAAGACAAATCCAAGCAGGGAGGGGATGTCAGCTGCAAGAGCTGACTGGTGAGAAACAGCAAGGAAACCAGTGTGACTGAGACAAGTGAGCCAGGGGTTGGGGAGTGGGGAGGAACAAGAGGCCGGAGGGTGGAAGGCCTTGGCAGCCTCAGGCTTGGACTTTCACTCTGAATGAGATGGAGAAAAGTTGGCATTTTAAGCATAGGCAGGACATTTTCTGGATGCATAAGAAGAATCACTCTGCGGGAGGCTGAGGCAGGAGAATGGCGTGAACCCGCGAGGCAGAGCTTGCAGTGAGCCGAGATCGCGCCACTGCACTCCAGCCTGGGCGACAGAGCAAGAGACTCCATCTCAAAAAAAAAAAAAAAAAAAAAAAAAGAAGAATCATTCTGATTGCTCTTTCCACAACAGACTTTACAGGGACAAAGGTAGAGACAGAGAGACCAGTTAGTAAGCTACTGAAATTAACTAGATGAGAAACTATGGTGATTTGGACCAAGGTGATGGTGACAGAGAAAAGAGTTTGGGGGCAGATGACATGGGTGGTGCTGATGACCTAAAGAATAGGTAGTTGCCTATGGGAGACTGGCATTCAGAGAAGAGGTCTGGGTTGGAAATACAAAATTTGGAAGACATCAGAATCCATGTAGAGATAGAATGACAGCTCAACCCTGGAACATTCAATGTTTAGAAGTCAAGGGAAAGAGACACCAGCAATGAAAGCCAAGAAAGAGTGTTGAGTGAAGTAGGAGAAGACTCAGGAATAAAGTATCCAGAAGCCAGCTGCTCTGAAGAGCAGAAAGTGATCTATCATCAACAGCTGAGGACAAGGACTGACCCTTGACCTAAGCAGTGTGGAGCTCATGGTAACCTTATAAAGAGTGATTTCATGGAGCGGGAGGCCAGAAGCCTGATCAGACAAGATTACAGAGATGAAGAGTGATACTGGACACAGCAAGTATAATAGTGTTTTCAAGGAATTTTGACAGAAGGGAAGCCTAGAAATGATGCAACAGCTGGAGGATGATATGAGCTCAAAGGGAGCATTTTCAAAGATGAGAAAAGTGATAGCATGCTTTTATGCTATTAGCAGTAGAGAGGGAAAAGTGGAGATTGCAGGAGAGACGGAAGACTTTCCAAAGCACTGACCTGAAATAGGCAGAGAAAAAATCCAGTGCAGAAGCTGGGAGTGAGCCACCATTAGTACACAGCCAACCACAAAGGCCCAGAAGCCAGGGGATGTGGAGCACTTTTGATTAAGAAAATAAGGTTGTTGACTATAGTTAATAGCAATGCATTATATACTTGAAAATTGCTAACAGAGTAGATTTTAAGTGTTCTCACCGCAAACAAATGATAAGTATGTGAGGTGATGTATATGTTAGTTAATTTCATTTAGAATTTCCACAATGTATACATATTTCAGAACATCATGTTGTACAACATAAATATATACAATTTTTATTTTTCAATTTAAAAGAGTAAATAAGAAAAAAGAATTCTACTCTCACCAGTGCCTGCATCAGCACATCCTTACCAGTGTTAGATATTAAGATTTTAAAACATTTTTCTCATTTGACAGATACAAAATGATATTTATTGTTCATTTTTGTTTGCATTTATATCTATTTTTAACAAAGCAATGGGATAATGTTTTGAACATCAAAAAGAAAAAGAAAAGAAAGTCACTGTTACTCTATGCCTCTTTATTCTGTATTTTATGGGGAAACATGCCTCATAGAAGCTGTGTATGTTAAAGCTAATATCATATCTAACTAATTGAGTTGAACTGTGTAGCAGCCTGACTGCTAGACTCTCCATTGTTTAAAGGGTAGCACATCCCACAGCTGCCTGACCTGAGTTTTGCATGGGGGAGCCCACTGGGTGATAAAACCTGCTTCAGAGAATATTGGCTCTTATCATCCAGTGGGGGCTTTCACAAAAAAATTCTCCCATGAGAACAAGCAGGGCTTTGCCCCAAATATCTCCTGCTGCAGCAGAAAAGGCCTGCTACCCAGTTCCCTTGTGTTCCCTGCTGATTTGTTGCAGAAAATGGACAATGAAAAAATGACTGCCAGGTGGGGGCCAAAAGAGACCACTTCTAAAAACTGGCAATGTCTTTTAAATATTTCGAATTTTATTAGATTTAGGACTTACTTGCTATTCCCTCTGACCAGATGGACACACTTGCCCAGAGCTCCATGTGATTTACACTTTACATGGTTCTGGTTTCTGCTGAAATGTCACCGTCTCACAGACATCTCCGCAAATGAATTATGCGTTCCTCACTTCGTTTCCACCATCCTGTCATTCTTGTTTCTGTGTTTGCATTTTCTTTGATGCTCTTTCCATTCCTGAAATTCCATGGAGCGTGTATTTGCTTGTTTTACTCGCCTCCGCCAGGAGGGCAGGAAACTGCTAGTTTTGTTTACTCTTCTTCCCAGCACCCTGAACACAGCACGCAGAGCAGCTTTCAATAAATATTTGTTAAGCAAATGAACTGATGTGAATTGATTCTAACAGAAGAGGGAGAAAGGAGTGTTGAAGCTGACAGGAACCAAGCACATAATATTAGGAATATACTTATACCAAAAAAAAAATGTTGTTTATCTGAAATTCAAATTTAACTGGGCATCCTGAATTTCATTTGGCAACTCTATATATGAGTTCTCACTTATAAGTGGGAGCTAATCTACAAGGATGCAAAGACATAAGAATGATACAATGGACTTTGGGGACTCCAGGAAAATGGTCGGGGGGAGGTGAGGGATAAAAGATTATACATTGGATACAGTGTACATGCTGGGGTGATGGGTGCACCAAAATCTCAGAAATCACCACTAAAGAAGTGATCCATGTAACCAAACACCACCTGCTCCCCAAAAACTATTGAAATAAAAAAAAATCACAGGCTCATAAACTCATATTTTTTTCTATGTATTTTGCTATCCTTATCAGTAAGATATTTTAAACTATCTATATCCTCACTACCATCGATGTCTATGTAGAGAGGGAAATATTTGTGATTCTTTTTCCCATGAATTTCCAAAGGGGCATTTCAACATGTCTGCCTTTCTTTCTTGCCTGGGTCTTTCTCAGCACTTAGTTAACAGTGGGTTACTTTGTGCTCTATAAACAGCTACTCCACACTTTGTGTTTCATGGGGTGGAAGGACAGTGTGTGAAGTTTGAGTGGCATAAATTCATCAACAATCTCTCATGATTCAATGCTGTTTGAAATTCCTCCATGAAGGTCAGCACTTTCTTTTTCTATACATAAACATTTTATTTTAGAATAATTCTAGTTTTATAGAAATGTGGTAAAGATAGCAGAGTTCTCAACATCCCACACCCAGTTGCCCCCATTGTAAATGTCTTACACAGACACAGTACATTTATCGCAATGAAGGAATTAAACACAACCAACAAGACCTTTCAAAACATAACCATGACACCTAAAAATAGTTAACAATAGTTTCTTAGAATGCTTTGTTTAGCCCATGGGTTTCCCCCATCTTTGCCCCTTATCCATCTGCCTTGATCCCCACAAGGGGGTCAATTCTCCTTTCCCCAGACTTGAAAACAACACAAGAAGGTAAGCAGCTGCTCACTCAGGCCAGGTATCTCATGTGACGACAACACTCAGCCATGTCTGGAGATAGTTGTGGTTGTCACAACCAGGGAGGTGCTACTGGCATTGAGTGAGTGGAAGCCAAGGTTGCTGCTCAACATCCTACAGTGCACAGAACAGGCCCCACCACAGAGAATGATCTGGCCCCAAATGTTCACAGTTTCAAGACTGGGAAACTGGAGTAGGCCATGCTGGGAATACACAGAAACTCCATGCTCTTCACCACCCCAGGACCCCGCCACCTCCCTGGCTTCTAACCACATCCTGGGATCCCATGGCACAGGTCTTGGGGACTCAGCAGGGAAGGGCGTCCAATCAAGGCACACCCTCCATGCTGCAGACCCTGGCCCACCCGACCAACCAGGGCCAGAATGAATACTGTACTTGCATTCTCAAACTTGACAGTGAGAATGACAGATGCATAAACAGCACTTCAAAGGGATTTTCATGTCTAGAGAATGGATGAGTGCTCCCCTCTTGTGGGAAGTGAAGCCAATGGGCAGGGGGCAAAGATGGAGAAAACTCCATCTTGGGCTAAACAAGGCTCCTTAAGGAACTAAAATCACTTAAAAGAAAGAAATGCTAGTTTACAAAAAAATTGGAGAGCATTGCTTTGCAATGCAGCATTGAAGAACAAACTGAAATGAACAAATGAAAATTGCTTGTTCAGACTTTTGATTATCCTCGTTTGGACTCAGAACAGGTGTTATAGAAGAAATGTACTCTTCTCACAAGAAGTGGCTTTGAGCTGTCTTCAGTGACAGCTGTGGTTATCTATGATTTGGAAGATCTTGAGAGGTCCTTGTTCTGGGGTCCCCAGGCTCGGTCTACCCACTTAGCAGTTCTGACAAGGAAAAAAGGACCACAGAACACAGAAAAGATGGGAAGAGTCAACTTGGAGGTGGAAAGAGGAAGACAAACAGCAAGTCCACTGTGGGAGAATAAGGAGGAGCCCCCACAGCCTTCTCCAGCTCTTCTCAGGTTCCATTTAGAGAGTTCCAAATCCCAGCAGCACCCAACATCTCCCCACAGGAAGTTACACTCCCCAAAATTACAGAGCAGAGCTTCTTACTGCAAAAATCTTTTAACATGGCAATAATACAATTGTGATATATTGCCTTGTCTACCATGCTAAATGATGGTGGTCTTGCCTACCATTCTAAATTCACTGTATGGTTTTACAACTTAGAAATTTTTGAAGCTATGAAAAAACTCAGTTATGTAAATGACATCCATAGGCCCCAGGGTAAATGGACAACACCTATAGAGCAGCCTTGCCAATTTTATCATCCCACACTTGTTATGCACAGAAAGCCCTTTGCTTGTTTATTTTCTATAACACTTGATATTGTTTGTGGACCTCTACCCCACCAAGAGAGGAAAAAATACAAATTTATTCTAATCGATAAACTTCATTAAATAAATAGCATCTTTGGTTAACTCTGGCTTCCTGAGAAAGCTGAGCATGTTAAATTTCCTTCATTTCCTCTGCTTCTCTCCAAAATGGCAGTTGAGTGAATGGCACTGGGACCTGGATACAAACACACACATCATTCTTCACTCTCCAGCTCCTCTGCCTCATCACTGCAGCACCTGGCTGGCAACTAATGTTCAGACCTGGGCCTGAGGAACTCTCAGGTCTTTCTCAGCTGGATCAGGAGATTGGCAACCCCGATGGTGCCTGACCTCCCATTTCTATTCTATGTCCAGCCAGCCAGACCACCCTACTCTTGTTTTGGGTGTCACTTTCCCTCCAAAACTCACACACTCCCACATTACCCCTTTGTTGCGGGAAGTCAGGGACCCCAAACGGAGGGACCGGCTGATGCCATGGTGGAAGAACATAAATTGTGAAGATTTCATGGACATTTATTAGATCCCCAAATTAATACTTTTATAATTTCTTACACCTGTCTTTACTGCAATCTCTGAACATAAATTGTGAAGATTTCATGGACACTTATCACTTCCCCAGTCAATACCCTTGTGATTTCCTATGCCTGTCTTTACTTCAATCTCTTAATCCTGTCATTTTCTTAAGCTGAGGAGGATGTATGTTGCCTCAGGACCCTGTGATGATTGCGTTAACTGCACAAATTGTTTATAGAGCATGTGTGTTTGAACAATGTGAAATCTGGGCACCTTGAAAAAAGAACAGGATAACAGCAATGTTTAGGGAATAAGAGAGATAACCTTAAACTCTGACTGCCGGTGAGCCAGGCAGAACAGAGCCATATTTCTCTTCTTTCAAAAGCAAATGGGAGAAATATCCCTGAATTCTTTTTCTCAGCAAGGAACATCCCTGAGAAAGAGAATGCATGCATCCCTGAGGGTAGGCCTCTAAAATGGCCACTTCGGCGAGTGGCCATCTTCTATGGTCAAAACTGTAGGAATGAAATAAGCCCCAGTCTCCCATAGCGCTCCCAGGCTTATTAGGACAAGGAAATTCCCACCTAAAAAATTTTGGTCAGACCAGTTGTGTGCACTCAAAACCTGTCTCCAGATAAGATGTTATCAATGACAATGCGTGCTGAAACTTCATTAGCAATTTTAATTTTGCCCCGGTCCTGTGGTCCTGTGATCTCACCCTGCCTCCATTTGCCTTGTAATATTCTATTACTTTGTGAAGCATGTGATCTCTGTGACCCACACCCTATTAGTACACTCCCTCCCCTTTTGAAAATCACTAATAAAAACTTGCTGGTTTTATGGCTCAAGGGGCATCATGGAACCTACTGACATGTGATGTCTCCCCCGGATGCCCAGCTTTAAAATTTCTCTGTTTTGTACTCTGTCCCTTTATTTCTCAAACCAGCTGACACTTAGGGAAAATAGAAAAGAACCTATGTGAAATCGGGGGCAGGTTCCCCCGATACCCCTTCCATTAAGTTCATCCACCAGTACCACCAGCTATCTAGATAGTTCTCTCTAGCATTATGGAAGCTTCCGGAAATGGAGTATTGTGGGGAATCAGGCCTGCCTGACCCTGCAGTTGCCCATGTGGTTATGAGAAGAATCTCTCTGTAAGATTCTCCTTTTTTCCAGAAGGAAATAGAGCAGAAAACACTCTTCTTTTCCCTCTGTCCTTATCCTACCTAAAATTGCTCTATATTCAGCACTGTGGCCCAGAGAGGGTCCCGCAGACAGGCTTTCTTACCATCTGCTCCTGCTGCCTCTGTTACCTCCTTCCTACCACAAGAACAGCTCTCCTCTTTATCTTCCTTCCTGTCCAGGACTTGCCTGGAGAAATACTGGTGATATCCTCAGTCAGGTAGGCTACAACTGACCTCTGTGCCCCGATGGGACTCATCTTCCCTTTCCCTGAAGATTTTGACTTCATGGTTTATGCTCGAAGGTGAAAGACTAGAGGAAAAAAATAAAAACTATTCTAGAGCAAAACAAAATGTGTCTGTTCAGTATTTTCTAAATTGTAATTCCCTTACATTTATTTTCTCAGAAGCAGAAGTTTTGAACTCCTTTCAAGAATTTCTTTACCAGCTTTTACTCCCTTAGTTGCCAGGACAACTTCAGCATTCCAACCAGGCCTTTTCATTACCTCATTTAAAAAGCAAACACACCAAGAAAAACCCATGTAAACTAGTTTCTCTAAGTGTTGATGTGGAGCCAAAACAAGCCAGCAGTAAGTGACCAGAGGCTGTAGAAAAGCCTCGGGGGAGGAAGTGAGCACAGGATTGAATCCAGAGTACATTACTCCTAGAACTTGGGGAAAATAAAAGTATGTTTAGAAAATTTGAGGTCAGAATTATTAGTGAAGTAGACTTGTTTTATACAGCAGTGAACACACATTCATAATTACCTTAATGATCTTCAATATCACATAGTGAAGACACCCTCCAATTTCAAAAGGTGAGCCCTGCCCTATAAAATTTATCACACAAAACCAGTTCTATCTAGCTTTTTTTAAAATGAATCTTTCAATGCTATTGCCTAATTGAATAAAGCTTTAGTATGACTCAATTTAATTTGAATTTATTTAGGAATTCATCCAAATACTGATGTAATTTTTGGCACAGTCATTTCTAAGGTCACAGGGTATGAGCAAAAGGACTAACTTTCCCATTACTTGTCATTTCCAGATAGCATATGTCCTTTTGCATACTGATTAGATCCTAGGGAAAAGTTGCAGTTCATTTTTACAGTGTTATTATTAAAGTCTCTAATAGATGCCAGGTGAATAAATTTGCATAATAACATTTTAGGCATTATATTTAAAAGTCATTTCTAAGCAAGATAAATTTTATTCAGTTATATTGATAACAATACCCATTACATATGGTTTTTAGCAAGTTCTTTTCAATACTTACGTAACAGTTTTGTTGTCTTACATGTATGACTTTAATCCACAATCAAAAAGAATAAATCTCCCTGCTTTGGTACCACCGTAGTTTTAAATGAGAAAAAAGAAAAAGTTATGAAGATGTGATAAGATGTGTTTTAAAATATAAGTATAAAGAAATTCTGGGGAAAATAGGCATAAATAGCAGTGGTAATTTACTGAGAATATCAGGCCTATCTATGCTCCTTACTTAAACTTCCCTGAAACTTAATGTAATTGTTAACCAGGTTGTAAAATGTCACTGAGAAAACCACAGCTTTTTAGGAACTGGAACCTCTTCAGTCATTTTCTTTTTACTTCAAAATCTATTTTTTTAATAACAAAGAAACACTAAGTATGAATATTCTTCTGTAAACTCCTATAGCTCTTTTTTGGTATGTGTGTTAATATACTTAACATGAATAGACCCTGCATATTATATCCATCCCACCATACACACACACACAAACACACACACACAGACACACACACACACACACACACACACACCCCAGATTATGAACCAGGGCAAAATTATATCTTAATCTTTTTTAATCTTCCACAATTTTTATTCCAGCATTTTGTAAACAATAGGTGCTAAGTAAATGTTTAGCAAGTTGAACTGAAGTTTGTTTTAATAATTTAAAATTTTAACTTATTTTTTTTAGAGAAACATGAAACTAAAATGCTACAGTACATTGCATGGCATACAGACTAAATTTTATTTTTAATCAGTTCTATTATTATACCTAGGTTCAGCAGAAATTTTGCTAATAAATCAATATGGTAGATTTCCAGGGTTTTAGATTGCCTATTCAAAATCTAAAGCTGTGTTGACAAAAGGTATATCAAAGAGACTGATTGCACAGGCTTCTGATCAAATTAGTATTGGATGAGCTTTATTGCCTTCCTTTTTAATATCTTACTACTGAAGGGAAGGTAGAATTTAATTGCGTTATTATGTTTAAGAAAGTATGACTGTCCTCCCAGATTCTACCCACTAGGACAATTTCCTTTAATTAATGAGAAGTGTCTGCCCTTTTTTTTTTTTTTTTTTGGTATCACGAGTAACTCAAAATTAAGGACCTAGAAAAGCACTGCATACATGTGAGATAAAGATAAATGATGAAGCAGAGTAACTAGAAGAGAAAGGAAGGAAGAGAGAAAAAAAGAAAGGAAGGAAAGAAGGACAAAGTAGCAAAAAAAAAAAAAAAAAAATAGAAGAAACTTCAATGCAAATTTAAAAACACAAAACAAAACCGAGAAAAAGTGAGGTTTTTTTTTAATTTAAAGATGTTGCCTAAGTAGGGCCAGAACTGTCTCTTCTTGACTTGGCCATGCTGAAGCACTTGTCTCACTGCCTTGCCCTTGTAGTTCTCATAGAAGGTTACCAGTGCTTCTCAATATTAAAGACACATATAAGTCACCTGGGGATCTTGTTAAAATGCAGATTCTGATCCAGTATCCCAAGTGGGGACTGAGAGTCTGTTATTTCTCAGGAACTCCCAAGTGATGCTGGTGTCTGGAGACCACATGCATCAGTAAGGCGTTAGCCAGCACACTAAGCAAGGAACTGGTTTTCTTGTCTTGAAATATATAATGAGGTTTCTCAACCCTGACACAACTGACATTTTGGATTGGATTATTCTTTGTTGTGGCTGCTGCCCTGTGCATTGTAGCATGTTTAGCAGCATATCTGTCTCTTACCCACTAGATGCCAGTAGCAAACCTCCCCCAATTATGACAATCACAAATGTCTCCAGATACTGCTAAATTCCTCCTGGGAGACAAAAATTACCCTGCTGAGAACTACAGAAATAGAATATATGTTGTGGATATTTTAGGGGAAAAGGCTGTTAGATAAAATGCATGCATCTTTGTAAAAGCAGCCTTAGGTCTTACAGCTCCTGACATCAGTTCTGTGCCAGCCCTGACCCTTACCCAACCTTGGCCTCCCTTTAGAAATCACTGTTGGGAGAACAGCAGTGGAAGCAAGCCCTGATGCCAACACCTCAGAGGAAAGCATTACAACTGGGCTACCGCAGCCTGGCCTCCCTCCAGGAAAGTCTGACATCCAAGAACCACCTCCTCCATTTGCTGCAGAGCTGGCAAGATCTGAGAATATTCCCAGCATCTAGAAAGAATGAAATTCTTTGTATCTATTCTTAACCTTTGGATACATGATAAACTAGTAGAAATTTTGACTATTTTTAACAATGTTAAATCAGACACACAAAAAAGTGTAGTTTTAATATCACCTACATGATGTAGCTCAGAGATTCATTCCTTCCTTACACTTAAGAAAGCAAATAGCAAATATTTTTCAGAATAGTTCAAAAATACAGAAGTTAGCATAGCTTTTAGGGTAAACTTTAGGTTCATCTTCCTGTCAAAAAGGCCAGTGAGGATACAACTTCTTTAGGCATCAAATTCCCAGTTTCTGAAGGACAGAGAGCAGTTCTGAAGTTTGAGTTGAATCACCTTCAATGATTTCTCCTCGAAACCTCATCTTCTAACTGTAACTCTTTTCTAAGCTCACAGTTTTGGAGACCTCTTTTGATTTGCTCCTCTGAGTTCAAAGGATTTGGGGTCTAAGATAGGAAACGTGTGTTCTGATTAGACTCTCCCTGGAGCAACATGTCCCCTTTGGCTTAATCATACTGTGTAATCAGCTGTAGGGGAAGCTCGTTGTTTGACTTCACCTCTCTGGACCTATAAAATTCATCAGTGGTCTTCAGACTTTTATTTTTAATAAGTGATTTTTTTTTCAAACCAAATTTTCTGGAGACCATAAAAAAGATATAAAAGTTGGGGGGTGCAGTTAAATAATCTCTTTCATTACTTCAATATTTTCATTTTCTTTTTCTTCTCAACTCTCAAGTTACTTAACTTCTGTTTCAAAGTGTTTTTCTTTATTTGTTGTATTGCTCAATTATATTTAATAAATTCAAGTGACTAATAGGCTCTGCTAAATTCCATACAGTGTGGAAAACAGAAGAATAAGATAGTATCTCTGACCTCAAGGAATTTAACGATCTATTTAGTTAAGGTGGGACTAGTACAAATAAAACAACTAGTGAACAGTGCAAACAATTCTAAGACTCCCTGACTCTCAAACTGTGCCCAGCACATAGAAGACTCCCAACTAATATTTGTGGAATGAGTGAATGAACTACTCACTTTTTACATGAAAGTTGGCCCTGTGAAGGGTTAGATTGGTCAGAGAAGACCTCATGGTAAGAACCGCAGAACTTTCAGCATGTAACAACTCCATCCAAACCTCTGTACTAAAGAGAAATGCACCAAACTCTAGCCTGGCTTCTAGCAGCAGAAGGCGATGTCCGTAGGATGGCCCCAGCCCTGTATTAACATGTCTGCCTGAGAAAGCCTAGAGCTGCCAGGAGAATTTTCTGTTCGTCCCAGACCTCTATTGGGGCTCAAAAACCAATACCCCAAAATATGATGCTTTGACATGCTGAACCAAGGAAGCAGCCTCAATGTCTCTCTGACCTCCCCTCACTACTGTCTCTCAATCCTCTGGCTCTCCCAAAGCACAGAATGAAGTTGTTCTCTGAAGTTCCCATATCTGCCTAAATGCCAGACCCACCAAAGAAGAAAACAATTTCCTCTTGCCTCTGGTTATTTCCCTGAGTTTTTATTAACTTAACTCATATTGCAGGAAAGAAGACTGAAGTATGTCAACACACCTGGACAGACTTTTCTCACAAACCATTGTCTGCTCTGCAGGCCCAACAGACTTTGTTCCAGGCCATTGTATGTTCTTCAAGCCCAGTGAATTCCCCTGAAAATCATTTACTATCCCCCTAAAATCATCACACTTCCCCATCTCTCTTTCCCCTAAGTAAAGGAAGAAGGGGTATATAACCATTTTTGCCCCATTGCGTGGTGGGGTAGTCACTCTGATTCTCCCCCAGGGACATTAATAAATCTATATACCACTTCTATTAGTAGTAGTAGTAGTATTTCTGAGAGAGGGGCTCACTCTGCCACCCAGACTGGAGTGCAGTGTTATGATCTCGGCTCACTGCAGCCTCCACCTCTCCAGATCAAATGATCCTCCCACCACAGCCTCTCAAGTAGCTGGGACTACAGGTATGTACAACCAAGCCTAGATAATTTTTAAATTTTTGTAGAGATGGGATCTCACTGTATTGCCCAGACTGGTCTTGAACTTCTGGGCTCAAGCAATCCTCCTGCCTTGGCCTCCCAAAGTGTTGATATTGCAGGTGTAAACCACTACGCCTGGTCTATGGATGTTATTTCTCTTATTAAATCTGCCTTTTGTCAACTGACTTTCAGTGAACCTTCAGAGGACAAAGGAGAAGTTTTCCCTTGGCCCCTATACCTCCTCTTATTAAAGCATTTACTGTAAAGGCCTTACAATCATGAATCCTTCCTCTGTCCCTTTGAGATGTATATATATCTCCTGCAATTTAGGATTGTCTTTCTCAAAGATCTGAAGACCATTCTTAGAAATGTACTTGTCAGGATAGAATCCTAATTTGGGGCCATCATTGCTGGCTAGCAGACACAGCTGGCCTAGTCACATTTACACTGACCAACCCTTGGTAACTTTTTATTTGAACCCCAGTTCTCTCTCCCTCCCACTCTCTCCCTCTGAGGTGATGGATGTGTTTTATGTGATGATGACATCATGGGTGTATTTATATGTCTGGATTCATCAAGATACATACATTAGATGGGTACAATTTTTTTGTGTATCAGTTGTACCTCGATAGAGCTAAAACTAGAGAGAGAACTGATAAAACAATGTATATTACAAGTTTTTATAGCTAATTTTCAGACATAAACAATAAAGTCTTATTGGAATAATAAAAATTAAAATAAAAGACACCGCCACCTCTGCACAAACTGGAATGGAGCGCAGCTCTTTCCCTGACTGTCAGTAGTTACTGAATAAAATGTTTTCATCACTTTAATGTCAGTGGTGTTTATCTTGGACAAGTGTGAAGTTGAGACCCTGGGACAAAGGGAGGAATTTCCCTGCCAGCAATCCCTTCTTCGTGCCTCCTTCCAGTCTATCTCTTAGGCTTTGACGGGTCCCACTTTCCAGCCTCCCTACATCCACTTTCACTGCACACTACCCACTTCCATTTTTCTGTTGAGACTTTCTCCGATTAGTTGCCCCATCCAGGGTGGGTGGGTTCCCAAAGGCGGAATGCTTCCACACCCCTGGATAGGTTCTGCTGTCTGGCATATACCCTATTGCATCTGACTCCCCAAAAGACTCAGAAACTGTGGCCGAAACCAGCAGGCCCTGCCAGCAAATTAGTAACTTCCTGCTCCTCCCAGGTGCTGTGGAAAGGAGGGAAAGACTTTCTCAGGAGGGCAGAGATGGAATCATTGCTCATGGTGCCTCCTTCTTCCTCTGCTTATTTTGCATCCAGAGGATCAGAGATGTAAGAACTTGAGAGGATCTCAGAGCTCCTTTAGTACAATCTCCTCATGTGATAATTGAGGAGGTAAGATCCAGGGGTTACTACTGCTACAACCACCGCTACTGCTTTCACTTTTGCATGCATACTCTACCAGGAATTGTTTCAAATGCTTCACAAATGGCGCCATTCTTCCCATTTTACAGAGGAAGATGCTGAGACCCAGAAACTGAGTCTACCGGAGGTGATGTAGCTAAGTAGCAGAGGTGAAATTCAAACCCATTGAACAAAAAAAACCAAATCCCCAAACGTCTCACAAGCGTGAAACTTAAAATGATCCACAATTTTTAGTAAAATATTAAGAACACCGTCCTATTTCGTTAGATACATTACTTTTTAATGTGCAAAATGGTCAGCCCTGAGGGTATGGGAAAAGGGGCTGTGAGTATAGTTAGAAATTAGTACAAAAAAGTTTTCTGTAGACTTCCTCATAATCACATTTTCCTTCAATTTGGCTGAATTTCAGTAACAGTTGATTTAATATATGAAAATGGTAAGGTAATATGTTATCATCCTGAGAAAGGCTGATGCTGTAAATCCTGTTGTGACAAAAGGCTGTTGTGACAAAAGGCTCATGCTGTAAATCCTGTGTGTCAAATAAGTCACACTTCAGTGAAAGACTAATTCAGCAAAGAATTTTGCAAATATCGCAAGTTCCATAAGGGGGCAACATGGGGCCGTTACATAGGGAAGACATCTCTTCAAAAAACTGTAATTCCTCTCTTTAACCTCCAAATTTTCCAGAGATCGAGTTGTTCACTCCAAAAATAATATTCCAGGAATTGACTTTAAGAATATTGCCCAGAATTTCAAGCTCTGTGAAACTTTTCATGACAATCATAGCTAAATAGCAAAATAATCGAGAAATGTAATAACTGAAGTTTGACCTTGGGCAAGTCTTTTGGCCCCTTTGGGTCTCCACATTCACATTTGTAAAATGACACTAACCCCACTCACATCTGTAAAACAGCATTAATCCCACCTGCACCATTTACCACAGAGGGAAGGTGCTAATTCCCAGTGTAATGCTATGTCTGCAGATGTAAGATTTTTTTGTTTTGTTTTGTTTTGTTTTGTTTTGTTTTGTTTTGAGACAGGGTCTCAGTCTGTTGCCCAGGCTGGAGTGCAGTGGCAAGATCTCGGCTCACTACAACCTCTACTTCCCAGGCTCAAGCGATCCTCCCACCTCAGCCCCCCAAGTAGCTGGGATTACAGGTGCACACCACTCATGCCCGGCTAATTTTTATATTTTTTGTACAGACTTGGTTTCACCATGTTGGCCAGGCTGGTCTCGAACTCCTGACCTCAAATGATCCACCCACTTTGGCCTCCCAAAGTGCTGGGATTACAGGCATGAGCCACCGTGCCTGGTCTGCACATGTAAGATTTTAAGATTTTATTAAACATACAATTAATTCAAATAGATTGTTGGGTTACCTGTTTGGATCCACATCCTAAAGATAACATATGCTTAGAAGCATAAAGCAGGAGGTAACCAACAGCCTGCAGCTTGAGTCCCTAAGACCCATATGTACAAGAAAATCAAAGTCTCAGGTAAAACCCTTACTCAACTGCAGCTTCCCCCAGCAGGGATTAGGGACCACATGTTGGAATGCACGATGTTTTGAAACATTGCTCAGAACCAGTGGGGCCTGGGTGGGCAAGCTCTTTCAGTGTTGGATTTTCCTGCGGGTCTCCAGAAACTGATAGCCTGTATACATACCTAGCGCCAATAACCATAGATACATTATAGATTAAAATTATGTACCTAAAACTTGCCTCATGATGCAGTTAACTTTTCCAAGATGATTTTATCAGCTTTTATGAAAATCATGTTGTGCCATGTTAAGTTACTTAATAATGTGCCTGCTCTTCACTTTAAAGGTAGAAACTTTCGGTGCTGTTAAATCGTAGCACTTCTTGACAACACCTGTTGATGTAAATGATTCAACCGTGAGTCCCTTGCTTTGTAAATCATATTCTAGAACAACTAGCTTCTTACATTGCCTTCAAGTTTATGATTTTATGCAAGTATACTTGTATAAAACTCTTTTAGAATTTAGAATTCTATGTACATTTTCTCCTCACTTGTTTATCTTCAGAACTAATTCTGAAAGCATTTTGAAATTCCATCATTCAAGGTTCTTTGCCCTCTATGAAGGTAGTTTTTTTTTTAACCAGTCTCAAAATAAAAGATACTGAAAATGAAATGAATCAAACAACTTGGAGATTCCTAGCAAATCCCCGGGGTCTAGTGACCCCGAGCAAGGGTCACTAGAGAAATTGTAGGGGCAAAAACAGGGATTTAGCCTAAACCATAAGAATGATTAAAAAAAAATCTCTTTAGCATTTTATAAAGGTGTTATACATTCTAGAGAAAAGGATGAGAATCCATTCCATTCTAAAAATTCATCAGTTATCAGTAAGGGTAGGAAAAAATATGTAACCCTTAGTCAGAGTCATAATAGTCCCAACCCTTGAGAAAAAAAAAAAAACAATATGTTAGACTTGGTTCATCCATCTGCTGAGCCAATATTTGCACATTCAAAACTTGCAGGTATCAAATGTACATATTTGCTTTGAAAAGAATTTTTGGAGCTGGGAAAGAGTCTATTCTAAGTAGCAAATACTTAACATCTCCTGACATTTATTCCACTGTAAATGAAAATTTTTCAAGAGAAATTAGAATTATTATCATTTTAAGGGTTCTTACTATTGTGCTGAGAACCCCACAGCTGGGAACAACAGAATTCTTATGCTTCTGGATCCCACACTCCTCCACTAAGTTGCACTTTTGATTTCATTCAGAAATCAAAAAGTGCAAAAGTGAACTCTGGCAAAGTGCAAAAGAAAGTTCTTAGGAAGCAAAGGTTCTATTTGTATTTAAAGAACATTCCATGACAATGATGGTGTGATAGAAAAGGGCCATGTTTTAGGCAGCAAAAATAAAGACATAGATTATGATAAAAATTTATGCTATTTGGGGAAGAATCAACAGCATGTTTGAAATCAGAGCTTTCCTAGACCCAGGTTGTGGCTCTGGAGTTAACAGCCCCTCTCACAAGGCACTTTGGTGTGTGGCTACAGGAAGTGAGGAAGTGGTGGCATCAACCACAGCCTTCTTTTGTTAGGCTCCAGCTAAACACATGCATACACACGTGAAAACAATGGCCAAAATTCCTCAGACACTGGGAAATATTAATTTAATGCATAATAAAATTTTGCATGCAATCCCTCCTGCCAAGGCTATCCTTGCCCTTTGTTAGGCATCCCTCTTAGTCCATTTGTGCTGCTATTAAAAAAATACCGGAACCGGGATAATTTATAAAAAATAAAAATTTATTGTCTCACAGTCTGAAGGCTGGAAAGCCCAAGATCAAGGTGCTGGTAGGTTCAGTTTCAAGTGAGGGCCTGTTCCTCATAGATGGCACTGTCTAGATGTCTGCAACATGTTAGGAAAGATGGAAGGACAAAAAAGAAGATGAATCCTATATCCTCACATGGCAGAAGAGCAGAAGAACAAAAGGGGCCCAAGCTAGTTTCCTCCAGCTTTTATTTCCCTAATCCACTGTGGGGTGGAAACTTCATGACTTCATGACAAAATGCCCCACCTCTAACACAACCACAATGAGAATTAACTTTAAACTCATGAATTTGGGGGAGCATTCAGACTATAGCAGCACCTTTGTTCCCATGCCAGGAAAGCTGGTTATCAGCTTGGTTCATGCCTCCCTGCTCTCAACCTAGTGACCTGTGTGCTGGTTTTCACTAGATTCCACCCACCTAAGCCCTCTCCTTGACATTAGTTTGAACCCTGATCAACGTTTCTTTCCAGTAACATGTCAGTCTGCAAGCCTGCTGTTTCCCCAACCCAGCGAACATCAGGATTGCTCACAGCGATCTGATCCTTCCAGGAAGTTTAAACAGATCAAATGTGTCTTCAGCGCCAGTTCTCTCAATTTTGCCTATCACTTTTAATCCCTTGCTCATTCTTTCACATCTCCTTGTCCCATGCCATCAGGGACAGACTTCTACATCTAAGCCCTGCATGCTGCCTCCCTCTTGCCACAGGATTTCATGGAAGAGCTAAAATTGCCATCTCTAGTGGGCATCTCCACAGGGGTATTTGCTATGTTGGAGAATAAATTCGAGGATGTATAAGATACATCCTCTATCCTTTAGCTGATTACTATCAAATGGCAAAGGTAATTTCATAATTTAACAAATTTTCTCATAACGTTTCCTCAGGCATGAGGAAATGTAAAACAACTAGATTGTCAAGTATGTAGGTTTTATGTCAGTGGCTATGTAGATAAGCCCAGAAATGTAGGTCAGGTGAGATCAAGGTTTTCAATGCCAAGGGGGAAAGTTTAACTGGATTTCATGGGTCACAGATGGTTGATAAAGGCTTTTGTGCAAGGATAGCACAATTGATGAGTGAATTAGTAATACTGTCCTATAGACAGCCTGCCAGAATATTTGGAGGGGAAAATATTTGAAAACAGAAAGATCAGCTGTGTCAAAGAACAAAATTTAAGCACATTGAGTTTAAAGATCTAATTGGCCTTTATTAGCAATTCATGAATTGGGCAGCATCCCATTTACAAAATAGAAAGGTGCTCTAATGGGCTGAGCAGAAGACATCGGTTTTATAGGCAGAAAAACCTGAAGAAAAGGCAGAAACAAGGAACAAGAAGAGGATTGGTCTTTTCAAAGTTACTTTCCCTATAGGGTTAAAGCATGATTTCTCTGTCTTGCTGGCTCAGGTTAACTAAGCCCCTTTACACTGGTTGTTGCTGAATCTCCTGCTTTTCGGAAAACTGACCTATATCTAAGTTTCATTACATGGCATTTAGCATGGGTGACCCCATTTTGATTTGGTCTGGTCTGCTGAGGCCTAGTGCAGAAGCTCAGTCCAAAACAATTACCTCCATAAATTTTATTTAACAGCTGGAAGGCTAGTATACTTTTCCAGAAAGGAAACCACCAGGGCCTGAGCCAGAGAAGCAGAAAAAAAAAATCAGAAATATGAAAGACCTCACAACAGAAAAAGCCACAGGAACAGGACACAGAATGGATAAATGCAGTAAAGGTGAGACTTCAAACCCTGGTTCCAGGTTCAGCAGTGGTACTATGAACAGAAATTCTCTTCGATTTAATGTAAATCTGCTTCAAAGGAACTGAGGACATCTAGTTCCCTCAAACAGAAACAACAGTGGCCTAAGATGTGAATTCTGCTTTCCTGAGTTGTTCATTAAACAGGCATTTAGTATTTCCAATATGATAGGCATTAGGAAGTCAGAAATAATTAGATGATCTCCAGATCCTCTAAGAGTTCACCAACTTGTTCTATGACTTACAGGTAATTATTTTAGTTTCCTTATCTCTAAAATATACAACTATAACTCAATTTTCATTTATGATTTTCCCTATAACCAACTATTAAGCAACTTTCTTGGTCCATTTTCTGTTGCTTATAACAAAATACCTGAAACTGGGTACTTTATAAGGAAAAGGAACTTACTACTTACAGTGATGGAGGCTGAGAAGTGCAACATTGAGGGGCAACATCTGGTGAGGGCCTTCTTGCTGATGGGGATTCTCTGCAGAGTCCTGAGGCAGTGCAGAGCTTCACTTATAAGGGGGCTGAGTGTGCTAGCTCAGGTCTCTCTTCCTCTTCTTATAAAGCTTCCCAACCTCATTCCCATGATAGCCCATTAATTCATTAATCCATTAACCCATTAATCCATGAGTGAATTAATCAAGAGCCCTTATGTCCCAATCACCTCTTAAAGGCCCCATCTCTCAATACTGCCAAATTGGAGATTAAATTTCAACATGAGTTTTAGAGGGAAAAACATTTAAACCACACCAACAACTATCATTATTATAAATGTATGCTGTCTTTGAGCTATCACTAGCCACTGCTAAGGCATGAATAATTTATTATGCTCCCTTTTATAGCTTCATTGTCAAGGACAACACAGAGATTAAAGAACATCATTTCAAATGGTGGCATTTCAGACATCACAGAGGACCGGAGGCAATGGTCTTTCACAGCTCTGCTAAAGTATAATTTTCAGCTGTTCCTCAGATGGAATTTTGTGCACCACTAGGCATATAAGGCAGTATGTTGCACTATACTCAGAGCCACAGGCAACAGGACATGTTATTCAGGTGCATCTATTTTACTGGAAAGTTTAAGGTAATTTATTCATTTGAAATAGTTTATATCAAAACATACCAATATATTATGCAGTAGAATGTAGATTTTGCACTAATTTTTCATTTTAAATAGGGGAATAAAAATAAATTTAGTTCTGGGGTGTTTGGGAGCCTATGAAATGGACTTGGGGAGAAGGGAGAAGGTAAACATACAAACTCTTGGATGTACTCCAGAGAAATGCTTGGGAACCCTGATGATTCACCCAGCCCAGTCTAATACCTCATATGCCTTAGGGTGAAAAGAACAGTCCAGGACCACTTAATGAGATCCAAAACTCAGATTTTCTGGGCATTAATACATTTTTTAAATTCCTTTTCATTTTCCCTATATTTACTTTCAGTGGACTGATATGTGTTTTATAATTCTAAGCCTACTGGCCACAAGTTATAAACTCAATGGCTCTCTGAAATCAAAGAAACAGACATGAATAGAATGGCTGTATAGTAGCTAACACTGGTGTGTACAAGGTGACACAATTGTCAAGATGGGCACCATCATATGCAGAACATAACCGATCCCCACTCCCTGACCCACTATCCATGAATCACTGAGTCTCAACTAAAATGTCAGCAACTTTTGGTCTTTCCCCAACCCCCTCACCTCGCAAGGTCTTTAAAGCACTCAATAGCCCAAATTATTTTCTCTTTTGGGATGACATTGTAAATCCTCACACCAAGTGAGCCATCTCCATAGTAACCATAGATAAATCTAGACATAAGAATGGCTTGGATCTTTTAAACTGAAATGAGAAAATCTGGCTCAAACTATACAACTTTTGAAGGATAAAGATGATAGATTCAACAGAGTAAACATAATGTTATTCAAATCAGTAGTCATTTTACTTTAATCTAGAGATTTAGCTTTGGCGTTTTCACAATCTTCCTGAGAGCTTATCATGTTGTTGAACATTCTTTTTTCGGATAAAGGCTTAAAAATGGTTTACAATGACCCACAGGGAGAGGGCAAGACATTTTTCAACTACTGTTGATATTTTCTTATCATTATACCATGAGCTTCTACTTTTCCCATTCTCATTCCAACTTCTCAAATTTCAAATTTGGAAATCGACTTATTTAAACTTGAACGAAAAAAATCTTTCCAGATCTAAAGACTTTTCAAGATATTTAACATAGAAACTGATGATAATTAAAACTTACAACAGCCACATGAAGTCTTCTCCCAAGGAGGTCGTGATGACCCTGAAAGTAATACTTGAAGAGAATAACTTTATTACTCTTCAAAGATCTTGGAATATGAATGAAAGCTATACTTTAGTTTCTTCCTTTTCTGGTAAAGAAACTGAGATCCTAGTGAATTTGAAGAATTAATTCGATAAATCAAGAGAAGCCAAGAATTCTTATATTCAAGATATCTAATTAGTTACTATAATGGGGAATTTTTAACCACACCCATAAATCATACTAAATATTGTTAACATATCTTACCCTTTTTCTACCCTCCATTTTGACACCTCCTTTAAATTTTGAAGCCTGCAAAATAAAATAAAATAAAATACTCTAATTATTGTCTTGAGACAGACTGGAAGAAATAGGCTGTTGAACTCCCATTATTATAAATTACAGAAAGGGGGCTTTTCATTAAACAATTCACCTTCTGACTAAATCTCTTATGCTACTTATTCCCTTTATTTGTGCTATTTTTCCATTTAATGTAATTTAGCTCTTACTTCCTATAACTTTAGTAGCTCTGGAACTCCAATTCCAGAATGAATGTTAAGGACAGACATTGCATCCTCACTCCTAGAAAGCAGCTGCATATACAAGCATTAAGTTAGACCTTGTACAAAACAAGGGGTTTCTTCACTGTCAATATAAATGTGAGCTTGCTTTCCATAATTTCTTTGCAATAAGAAGTAATGTTATCAACTCTATACTAGCATTTAGATCACCAAAGAATTGTCAGGTTTGGCCAGAATATCAGGAAAGCGTCAAAGCTCCAGATGCAGGGCGAAAGACATTTTCACATGAAATTGGGCAGGAAATGAAGTACTATCAGGAGACTGCTTCTAACTAATTGCATTTTTGTGGGCCAGCTTTCATGGAGAACAGATGAGTTAGGCAGTATAAGATGTGATGATAAGGAAATATTGAGAAATGGAGGGAACCCAAGATTTTCCACATCTGTTTCTGCTGCCTTGGCAACTAACTGCTATCTCTTCAAAAGCCTAAGGGAGCTGACCCAGTTGATTGATTGGTATATTCTCTTTTATTCTCATACTCCAGTTCCATTCCCTTTTTCTGGTCACTTGACAGTCATTCTAATATATTTAATAAGTATCTGCTTGTGTATGTTCTCACAAATGGATATTTTTATTTTGTGTTCATGTTTTTCACATTAATTCACACAAATTAAATGGTGTTTAGTTTTCTATTTCATTCTATTTTGTACTTTTTTCACTAGGATTTTAAGATCCATCCACGTCGCTATCTCTACAGGTATCTGTTGCTTCTGTAGGGGTCAAGGGAAAACTTATCCTTAGCCCTCTGAAGATTCACTGAAAATCAGTGGACAAAAGACAGATTAACAGGAGAAAAGACATACAAATGTATTAATGTGCACGAGGGAGAATCAGAGTGATTACCCCACCACACAATGGGGTACAGATGACTAAATACTCCTTCTTCCCCCTCCTAGGGAAAAAGGAGGTGGGGAAATATGGATAATTTTAGTGGTGTAATAAATTATTTTTAGAGGAATTCAATGAGCTTGAACAATATACAACGGCCTGGGCCAAAGCCGGCTAGGCCAGCCCAAATAGTAGATAATGGTTTGTGACCAAAGTCTGTCCAGGTATATTGACAGAGTTCAGTCTTTCTTTCTGCATTATGAGCTCAGTTAATGAAAACTCAGGGTAGGGATCAGAGGTAAGAGGTAATTATTTTCTTCTTTGTCAGGTCTGGAGTTGAGGATTGAGAGAAAGGATTGTGGGGCGGCAGGGGTCGGGGGCTGGAGGGGGTTGGTCAGAGAGACCTTGAGGCTTCTGCTTTAGTTCAGCATGTCAAAGCACTATATTTTAAGGTATTAGTTTATCAGCCTCAACACTTCTTTTTTTAATTTTTTTTAACTTCATTTTATTTTAAGTTCCAGGATACATGTGCAGGACGTGCAGGTTTGTTACATAGGTAAATGTGTGCCATGGTGGTTTGCTGCACCTATTAACCCATCACCTAGGTATTAAGCCCCACATGCATTAGCTATTTATCCTGATGCTCTCCCTCCCCCAACCCCCTCCGACAGGCCCCAATGTGTGTTGTTCCTCTCCCTGTGTCCATGTATTCTCATTGTTCAGCTCCCACTTATAAGTGAGAACATGCAGTGTCTGGTTTTCTGTTCCTGCATAAGTTTGCTGAGGTTAAAGGCTTCCAGCTCCATCCATGTGCCTGCAAAGAACATGATCTCATTCCTTTTTATGGCTGCATAGTATTATTCCATGGTGTATTTGTACCACATTTTCTTTATGCAGTCTGTCGTTGATGGGCGTTTAGGTTGATTCCATGCCTTTGCTATTGTGAATAGTGCTGCAGTGAATATACATGTGCATATATCCTTATAAAGAATGATTTATATTCCTTTGGGTATATACCCAGTAATAAGATTGCTGGGTCAAATGGTATCTCTGGTTCTAGGTCTTTGAGGAATTGCCACACTGTCTTCCACAATGGTTGAACTAATTTACATTCCCACCAACAGTGTAAAAGTGTTCCTTTTTCTCCACAGCCTCACCAGCATCTGTTGTTTCTTGACTTTTAATAATCATCTTTCTAACTTGTATGAGATGGTATCTCATTGTGATTTTAATTTGCATTTCTCTAATGATCAGTAATGTTGAGCTTTTCTTCGTATGTTTGTTGGTCACATAAATGCCTTCTTTTGAGAACTGTCTGTTCATGTCCTTTGCCCACTTTTTAATGGGGTTGTTTTTTTCTCATAAATTTGTTTAAGTTCCTTGTAGATTCTGGACATTACACCTTTGTCAGATGGATAGATTTCAAAAATTTTCTCCCATTCTGTAGGTTGTCTGTTCATTCTGATGATAGTTTCTTTTGCTGTGCAGAGTTCTTTAGCCTAATTAAATCCCATTTGTCAATGTTTGCTTTTGTTGCAATTGCTTTTGACATTTTTGTCATTAAATCTTTTCCCATGCCTATGTCCTGAATGGTATTGCCTAGATTTCCTTCTAGGGTTTTTATAGTTTGGGGTTTTACATTTAAGTCTTTAATCCATCTTGAGTTAATTTTTGTATAAGGCATAAGGAAGGGTTCCAGTTTCAATTTTCTGCATATGGCTAGCCAGTTTTCCCAGCATCATTTATTAAATAGGGAATCCTTTCCCCATTGATTGTTTTTGCCAGGTTTCTCGAAGGTCAGATGGTTGTAGGTGTGTGGACTTATTTCTGAGATCTCTATTCTGTTCCATTGGTCTATGTGTCTGTTTTGGTACCAGTACCATGCTGTTTTTGTTACTGTAGCCTTGTAATATAGTTTGAAGTCAGGTAGCATGATGCCTCCAGCTTTGTTCTTTTTGCTTAGGATTGTCTTGGCTATATGGGCTCTTTTTAGGTTCCATAGGAATTTTAAAGTAGTTTTTCTAATTCTGCAAAGAATGTCAGTGGTAGTTTAATGGTAACAGCATTGAATCTATAAATTGCTTTGGGCAGTATGGCCATTTTCACGATATTGATTCTTCCCATGCAATTTGTTTGTGTCCGCTCTGATTTCCTTGAGCAGTACTTTGTAGTTATCCTTGAAGAGGTCCTTCACTTCCATTGTTAGCTGTATTCCTAGGTATTTTACTCTCTTTGTAGCAATTGTAAATGGGAGTTCATTCATGATTTGGCTTTCTGCTTGTCTATTGTTGGTGTATAGAAATGCTTGTGATTTTTGCACATTGATTTTGTATCCTGAGACTTTGCTGAAGTTTCTTAACAGCTTAAGAAGCTTTGGGGCTGAGATGATGGGGTTTTCTAGACATAAGATTATATCATCTGCAGAGACAGTTTGACTTCCTCTCTTCTTATTTGAATATCCTTTATATCTTTTTCTTACCTGATTGCTCTACCCAGAACTTCAATACTACACTGAATAGGAGTGGTAAGAGAGCGTATCTTTGTCTTGTGCTGGTTTTCAAGGGGAATGTTTCCACCTTTTGACCATTTGGTATGATATTGGCTTTGGGTCTGTCATAAATGGCTCTTATTATTTTGGGCTATGTCCATCAATACCTAGCTTATTGAGACTTTTTAACATGAAAGGATGTTGAATTTTACCAAAGGTCTTTTCTGCATCTATTGAGGTGATCATGTGTTTTTTGTCTTCAGTTCTGTTTATGTGATGAATTATGTTTATTGATTTGCATATGTTGAACCAGGCTTACATGACAGGGATGAAGTTGACTTGATCATGGTGGATGAGTTTTTTGATGTGCTACTGGATTCAGCTTGCCAGTATTTTGTAGAGGGTTTTTGCATCAATGTTCATCAGGGATATTGGCCTAAAGTTTTCTTTTTTTGTTGTATCTCTCTCAGGTTATGATATCAGGATGATGCTGGCCTCATAAAATGAGTTAGGGAGAAGTACCTCCTTTTCAGTTGTTTGGAATCATTTCAGAAAAAAATGGTACCAGCTCCTCTGTATCTCTGGTAGATTTCAGCAGTAAATCCACCTGGTCCTGAGCTTTTTTTGGTTGCTTTGCTATTTATTACTGCTGCAATTTCAGAACTTGTTATTGGTCTATTCAGAGATTCAATTTCTCCTGGTTCAGTCTTAGGAGTGTGTATGTGTCCAGGAATTTATCAATTTCTTCTAGATTTTCTAGTTTATGTGCATAGAGGTGTTTATAGTATACTCTGATGGTTGTTTGTATTTCTGTGGGTTCATTGGTGATATCCCCTTTATCATTTTCTATTGTGTCTGATTATTCTCTTTTCTTCTTTATTATTCTAGCTAGTGGTCTATTTTATTAATTTTTTCAAAAAACCGGCTCTTGGATTCATTTATTTTTTTGAAGGGTTTTCGTGTTTCTATCTCCTTCAGTTCTACTCCAATCTTGGTTATTTCTTGTCTTCTGCTAGCTTTGGGGTTTGTTTGCTCCTGGCTCTCCAGTTCTTTTAGTTGTGATGTTAGGGTGTTGATTTGAGATCATTCTAACTTTTTGATGAGGGCATTGGGCTATAAATTTCTCTCCTAACACTGCTTTAGCTGCATCCCAGAGATTCTGGTATGTTGTCTTTTTGTTTTCATTGGTTTCAAATAACTCTTTGATTTCTCCCTTAATTTCATTATTTGCCCAAGGAGTCATTCAGGCGCAAGTTGTTCAATTCCCTTGTAGTTGTGTGCTTTTGAGTGAGTTTCTTAATCTTGAGTTCTAATTTGATTGTGCTGTGGTCTGAGAGACTGTTAGTTAGGGTTTCAGTCCTTTTGCATTTGCTGAGGAGTGTTTTACTTCCAATTATGTGATTGATTTTAGGGTAAGTGCCACGTGGCACTGAGAAGAATTTACATTCTGTTGTTTTGAGGTGGAGAGTTCTGTAGATATCTATGAGGTCCACTTGATCCAGAGCTGAGTTTAAGTCCTGAATATCCCTGTTAATTTTCTGTCTCAATGATCTGTCTAATATTGAGAGTGGGGTGTTAAAGTCCCCCACTATTCTTGTGTGGGGGTCTAAGTCTCTTTGTAGGCCTCTAGGAACTTGTTTTTTGAATCTGGGTTCTCCCGTATTGAGTGCATATACATTTAGGATAGTTAGCTCTTCTTGTTGAATTGATCCCTTTACCATTATGTAATGCCTTTGTCTTTTTTGATCTTTGTTGGTTTAAAGTCTGTTTTGTGAGAAACTAGTCACTGAGTCACTGACTTCACTCTGTTGTGCCCCTGCAGATCATGGTGACTACTGGGGCATTAATTCTTCCCCAGGAGCACATGACTCTTTCAGCTCTAGGAGAAAAACTGGGGGTGGAAATGGTCATCTGTCTGGACAGAGCTTTATAACTTTAAAATACTGAGGTGTATGGCATATGGGCCTGCTTTCATACTGCTGAATCTGATCAAGCATCAACAATTTCCAAGAAACACCAGGTCAAAGAAACATGTTAAACCAAAAGCACTGTGATGTAATCAGCAAAATCCAGAATATGAAAAGTCTACAGGACAAATAACAAATGAATTGCAAGATGGTGGAAAAATGAGGCTGTAGAAACTATAAATTAAGAGAGATTTCAGAAACAATTCAACCAGCTACATTGTGCAGCCTTTGCTTGGATTGGAGTGAACTGATTGTAAAAATTATTCATGAAATATTTGGGATGAATTGAATACTGACTAAGGAATTATTGTTAATTTTTAAACATGTGGTAATGGTATTAAAGTTATATCCCTAAAAATAACTTTTACCTTTCAGAAATACTAATGGATGACATGATATGATCTCTGGGATTTGCTTCAAAAAAATCTAGTAGCAAGGGAGAGGAAGTGGGGACAGAGATGAAATAAGATTGGCCAGGAATTGATTTTTGATGAAGCAGGAACAAGAGATATGAGGACTTGTGATACTATTATTTTTAGTTTTACATGCATTTGTACATTTCTACAATTAAAATTTTAAAAATAAAGATTAGCTGGACACTTAATATGCGCCAGAGTGGTCAAGATCTACTATCACTGTCTTCATGGAATTTGGCATCCTTACTAGATAATTATTTTATACAAATACTTAAATAATTTCAACTGTACAGTCTGAGATTACATAACAGACCTGCTGATCACCTGTGAGTAAATAGAGAGGCAGCCCAGCAGCATGATGAGCCAGGCCTGGGTGTGAATCCTGGCTCCTTCTCCTTGTTTTCTGGTTGTGAAACGTTGGGCAGGTTACTGCACAGTTCTAAGCTTCAGTTTTCTCTTCTGAAAACTGACCAAAAAAATAGCATCTATCTCGCAAGTTTGTAGTGAGGATTAAATGAGGCAATATATGTAACGTGCTTAGCACTGAGCCCAGCAGATAGTAAATGCTGAACAAAGGCTAAGTACTGTGCTAATATTAGAGGAAGGAAGAATGCGAGGGTTCGGGGAGGACTTCTCTGAGGAAATGACATTTAAGCTAAGGCATTAGAAAGGAATAGTAATTATGTTAAGAAGTGGGCAAGGGAAACAGCACAGATAAGAAAGCATAACCTTTCCAGGGAGGGAGAAAAGACCCTCTTGAGAGTTAGTGAGAGGGCAAAGAGTAAAGAGGCACAAGAGGAGAGGGAGGAGCATGTCACATCAATTCCCAGCCTTAGAAGGCCACATCAAAGATGTGAGATGTTACCACATTTCCTCACTTCTAAGACACTGCCCACCCCACCTCATTTCAACAGCTCTGAAACCAGGATACCTGCTACAATCAAAGATGTGACATAGCAGCATTTTCTTTCCTGGTAGTTCACAAAATAAGGTGTGCCTTTCAAAAGACAGAACTCTCAGTTCTATAAAATGTGGTATTCTGAGAACAATGGAAAGAAAATAAATTGTGGTTGTTAGGTGGCACAGGGGCAGACTTATGTTCCTAAGAGGTTGTTCTGGCTTCATTGTAGAAGAAAGATTGAAGGGGTACATCTGGTGATGATCTTCTTTGGAAACAACAGTTTTTCAGAAGGACATTAGATCACTCACAAAATCATTAGAAGGGTGGGAGAAGCAGGTTCAAGACTAAACTTCTAGAAAAAACACTCAAAACTATGCCACAGAACTGGCCAGATAAGGAAATTGACCCCACTGCCACCACCACACCATCAAAGCCACTTCTGTGCCAGGAGCCTAACTTTGCAACCCCTGCCACTCCCAAGAACAGGCAGTCTCAGTCACCACTCTTGCTAGCAAAGTGAACTCCTCATGGATCCACCCTCCACCAGTTGCCCACTTCTAATCCAGCTGTCATGAGAGGGAGTGAATAGCTGTAAAGAAAGCTGAAGAAAGTTTTCTGAATTCTGTCTTGCAAATGTAGGACCCATAAACTAGAAAGTCTCCAAACAGCCAGGAAGGTCAGTGATTCCTACACAGCCAGGAAACATGGTGGACATCCAGTAGGAAAAAGCTGTGGAAGAGGGACCCCAGACAGGAGGCTTCTGTTGTGAAATGTGACTGAGCCCTCAGCTGCCAATGACCAGCTGAGGAAGTAGGCCTTTTATAACCAAGGTGGTGGGGTGGGAAGCATTCAGGCTGATATGCTTAGGCTGTGTCCCCACTCAAAATCTCATCTTGAATTGTGATACAAATTGTAATCCCCACGTGTTGGGGGAGGGACCTTGTGGGAGGTGATTAGATCACGGGGGTGGTTTCTCCACGCTGTTCTCATGGTAGTGAGTGAGTTGGCACAAGATCTGATGGTCTTATAAGGGGCTTGTTTGCTTCCTCTTCCACCATGATTGTAAGTTTCCTGAGGCCTCCACAGCCATGTGGAACTGTGAGTCGATTAAACCTCCTTTCTTTATAAATTACCCAATCTCAGGCAGTTCTTTATAGCAGCATGAGAATGAACTAATACACAGGTCCTGAGGCAGAGAAGCAGAAACAGGCTCAGTAAATATCTCAGTAGTTGACAGAACACAGGGAACATGCATGTTTTAACCACATTTTAAAACTTAAAGATCCCACAAATGTTGTGAAACCACAGTGATAAAAATAGCTTAAAAATCAAGTCAGACTCAAAATACAAAATACGTGGTAGCCCTTTGCATATATGATAGGGTGAAAAGACACACCAGTAGTCACTGACTTTGCTAACCTTATAAATCAGACAAATGATGATATCTTAGCCTCCCTCTTCTCCTTCCCTCTTCTCTCCTTCATTCCTTCTTTCCTTCTAGCTGAATTTATACACTAGACTAGAAGAAAAAATGAGTAGTTTGTGCAAATAAGTGCAATTCTATAGATATTTGAGCAAGTTTGTTTTTTTGAGCCAAAAGTTTTTCACACATTAAATAGGGACTTTATTTACATCACAACATTTATATATCAAGACAGTGCATTAGGAAAAGCAATTCTGAATCCAGAATGAGCTTTAATTTAAACATCACCTTACCAGCTGGGTGACTTTGAGCAAATCATTAAACCTTGCAGAACCTCACTGCCAGTTTTCTCACTTGTCAAACTGTAGTAAAACTACTCTGTTTGTTTTGCTGTGAAGATCAGCACAAATATTTGAAAAGTACTGGGAACATGATATGGTTCTCAGTTCACAGAAGTTACAATTGGTTATAGCCACCATTATTTCTATAATATCTATAAAGATTTAATTTCTTTGAGCAAAAACAGACATAATTCCTGATTTAAAATTTTTCACATTTTAGCATTTTATTAAAGATTTTGTTACATTAATTTTTATGGCAAATTTCTTCCTTTAACCTCAGGTAACAGCCACAGAAGTAGTAAGCAGTTAAAGTTCAACCCTAAATGTTGGTTTGATCATAAGATTGCCTTTGACTATTAAATTTTACTTATTTCTTGCATGCACTTTCAGACTGAATATTTTCTCTGTACATATGCATTTATTCAGAGAAGAAACGTGTATCACTTGGCATGTGCAAAATCCATCAGCTCTTGCAAGTTTAGTAATATGAATGTAAGGGAGGAATATTTCTCATCAGCACCACCTATCTTGCCTTCTCTCCTGGACCAATGGAAGAAGTGTCCCTTCTCCAATGGTCCCTCTCCCCTGGCACTGGAGTCCTGCTCTCCTCCCCCCTTTGCCTCCTAAAGGACAACATTCTAGCAATTCTCCCCTCTCTTTCCTACATCTTCAGTTTCTTCTGCACTACCAGATTATTCCCTTGAGCATAAAATATGCCTTACTGTCATCTATTTTTCAAGAAGACAACTCTCCCTTGATCCTATGACCCCATTCAGCTTCCTTCATCTCCCCTTTACAGCAAACTTCTAAGGAATTGACTAATCTTCAGCTTCCATTCTTTTTCCAGCCCACTCTGCTCCTCTCTCATCCCCACCATACCCATGAATCAACTCTTACCAATCGCCTTGGCCACACTAAACCCAGCGGTCAGTGCTTTGTCTTCATCTAACCTGACCTCTCACACCATTTTGATTCAGCTGCCCACACTCATCTGCCCAAATCACCTTTTTCTCTTAGCACCTATGACTTTTCACTCCTAGTTTTCCATTTCCAACTCACTTTTTTTCTTCTATGCTCAGTTGCTAATGATAGCAGCCTAGGGCTAAGTCTTTAGCCCTCTTCACATTTCCAGCTTCCCCACTCACACTCACACTCCACGCCATCACAGTGTTCATCTCACTCATGATTTTAAATGCTTCTATTCACTGATGACAACCGTATTTATTTCTCCAGCTCCAATTTATCTCCTGAGCTCTGGCTTCATAAATATAATTATTGAACAAACATCTACATTTGAATGTCGAAGTTAACATGTCCAAAAAGGAAGTCCAAATTTTTCCTTAATAATCTCCAGCTCTTGATTATGTACATGGGGGAAAAAAGGATCTAAGGATACTAGCTGTTTTGCAAAAGTCCCTTTAAAAATATTTAGGTTCTGTAGATTATTCAACAAACACTCTATTGCAGACACTGAGCTGAGTATCAAAAAAGTATGAGATGGAACCTCCACCATCAAGAAGCTCAATATAGTATAAAGCCATAGCTTTGACATCTGTTACTTACCAATTGTCTAAACTTGGCAACTTCTTGCCTTCAGTTTCCTCATCTGTAACACAGGAACAATAAAAATAATAATCATACTTTCCTCATATGGTTGCTATGAGACATAAATAAAATTTTATACATATAGATGATTCCAATGCCTGGCACATAAAAAACACTCAATAAATGTTAACTTTTAAGCAAGTAGCTAAAATTGTATGCTCCATTGTCACCTGAAATTAAAAGTGTCCTTTTTTATGCCTGGAAGGGGAGACAGACCTACAGTATAAATAAATATGGAATTTATGCAATACTTATGAGTGATACATAAAATAAATTCTGAAAAAAAATGTTCTCCTACAAAAAGTCCAAACCAGACAAGTGCCACATAAATGTCAACTGCATGAGATGCAGTTTTCTCTATCCTCTGCCTGCTCCTTTTAACTTGTTTCATCTTTGCCTATTGTCATCTCTTTCCTCTGAAGTTTCTTAATTAAAAGAGAGCACCCCACATTCAGAGGCACATTCATTCTTCTTTCCTCCTACAAGTGACTGATCTCATACATTAAAAAGCTGAGCCAGCAAAGTAGCGGTGTTTCAATGCCAATTATGAAAATCCATAAATAAAGTACATCATTCAGTTTCCTGCATGAATACTTTTCAACCACTCTGATGTCCTGACTGTTGGAATTGTTTTTCCTCTCTAAGGACAACCATTAAGTATTTACAAGCATGTCCTTTTCTTGGGAAACATTAAAGGCAAATGATATGAAGCAAAGCTGTTTTGCAGTGCAGCATATACCCCTTGAATCATTTTATACCAGCTTTTTTCAATATTGGTTGAAAAAGCTCAGTGAAGTCATTAGTCTTTGAAATTTCCTTTAGAAGTTTTTATGAACCAAGCTGATCATCCAACTCTAGGTTCTTCTAAGACTCCTGCCAATTTTTGTTATGACAAGCATTTAATGTATTTTGCTGTTAAGTCATTCACATATCAATCTTCTCATAAACTATAAGGTTTTCTTGGACAGCGTACTTTGCTTCAAATTACAAAAAATACACATAAACACTATTCTTTTTAAGTAAAATTTTTGCAACTATATAAATTAGGAGAAAACTGAACACATCAAATTTCACATCAAGTCCGAGATATGTGACAAAAAGTGCTATTTAGGGGTTACGTATGGAGAAACTGTGACCCAGAGACATAATTAAATCCATAACAGTACAGGAATGGGGTTCCTTTTAAGACCCTTTTTCCTTTTGGTTCTCCTACAGACCTTATTTAACCAAGCAGCCTAATCAGTATCCTGAACAAGGAGTAGCCTTCTAAATATGTTTGCCTTTTTCCTGAGAAGGAAAAGAGTATCTTCAAAGGACCTATTTACCTATGTTCATTTTTCCAGCTGCCTTAAAGTAAACACATTCCTCTTTGCCCCTCCCTTGCTTTATTTTTATGAGGACTTTACTGACAAATAAACTTTTCTGTTTATATTCAGATTCTATAAATAATGAATTGTCTTCAGAGATAAAGTGAATAATTAGTTCTTCCATACAACGCAAATCCCATAGCAAGATCAACATCATATTGTAATGCTCCCTTAAGTCCAACCTTGATTGAGCACAGAAAGGACAGGTTGTGTTAGGAACTTCCTTGCCAAGACTTGAGACGGAAGCATTATACTACCTCTTGTACAGATGGAGAAACAGACTCAGAGAAGTTAAGTTAACCAACCTCACACAACTAATGGGTAGTAGAGCTGGATTTAAGAGAGGCTTATCTTATTCCATGTCCATCCTTTCCCCTTTGCCACTATGAAAGACAAAGCATCTCTTGTAGAATACTTTCAGACATTCTATAACCTAACCCAAGGTCATCCAGACCCTCTGCTTGTTCAACTTTTGAGCTAGCCTCAGAAATCCAATCACTCCACATGAGAAACTAAGACTTAGGCAAGGGTTAGCCAGATTAGGGCTACATTCCTAAATTTTGATATTCTAGGTCTTTCTCCATCAAAGATAAGACAGGTCAGATCAAATCCTGGTGTCAGACAGGGCAGAACTCCTGATCAGGGCCCTAAGCAACCTGGACTCAGAAAATGGGAAGTAAAGGAAGCAGAGGATCTGGAACCAGAAAACCAGGTTCTCCTCTCAAGTTCCTCATTTACCAGCAGTGGGACCTTGAGTTGTCTCAATTCTCTGAGTCCCAGCTTCCTAATCTAGAGAATGAGATAGTAGAATCTTCTGACCATTCAACAACATTACAATAATGATCAAAAGAAGTAATAGAAATGTTCCAGATGTCTCTCAATAAAAAAATGGATAAACAAACTGTGGTATATCCATACAATGGAATATTAGTCACCGACAACAATAAACAAATTACTGATACATACAACAATACAGCCGAATCTCAAAAGCATTATGGTAAGGAAAAAAGTACAGACAAAAGGCTGCGAGATTTCACTTATGTGAAGTTCTATAGCAAGAAAAGCTAACCAAAGGTAATAGTAATCAGAATAGTGGTTGCATGGGAGCAGAGAAAGAATTGACTGAGAAGAGACTTGAGGACACTTTCTGGAGTGATGGAAATATTCTATATGTTAATAGAAATGTATGCATCTGTCAGGACAGAGGGAATGCACAATTTAGGTCTACACATTTCACCATATGTAAATTGTACCTCCATAAAAAAGATAATACAAATTTAAAACTTTCATAAGTAGAAGAGCTCTGTACAAACATTAAATGCCAGAGTTGCTCACTGAAATACTATGAGTCCTTTTTACATCACTGCTTGGTCAGACAACCTTATATGAGTGACTTGCAGTGACTCAAAAAAATGCACTTAATTGAAGTTGCTTTCTTTTATGATCCAAAGTTTATGGTTAGATCTGACTTAGGGATTCTGAGAAAAGCAAGGAACATACAAATAAAGCAATACTAAGTTTAGAAATAATGACTCATATTCTAATAGCAAAGTGGCATATGGGCCATTCTACAGCATATACTCACTTCCTCTAAATCAGACTCCCTAGATTTCCATAAAAAAGAGAAGTTGCTATTTAAAATTTAGTTCAAGAAAAGCAAGTTGCAACAAAAAGTATAATAGCCATTTGTATTGAGTATACCAGTCTCTTCCAAATGCTCTTGTTTCTGCTCACAACAGCCCTGCAATGCAGCATTATCTCCATTTCAAACATAAGAAAACCAAGACTCAGGAACAGCTAAGTTACCTGCCGTATGACACATATCAAATTTTCAAACCTGTATCTGTCTGTCTTCATAGCTTTATTCTATTCCGACAGATTTTTTATATAGTACACAATAAATATATGTTTTCCAGTCTTGATTATTGTTTTAATTAGTTATCTTCACAGTTGTAGGTAATTTTATCTCATTACACAACAGTCACTCATAGTAATATCCAACATTTATTGAGTCCTGATCAAGAGTCAGACACTTAACATGCAATAACTCAGTACATGCTTAAAATAGTTAAGAAGTACTCATTATCGCTAGCCTGATTTTACAAATGAAGAAACTGACAAAGAGATGTAAAGGAAGTTTCCCAAGGTCATGCATGTAGCTTAGCAGAGCCAAGATCTGTGCCCAGGGAACCTGGATTCAAGACATGTGATCATGAAAACCATTCCACTTTGTTTTCTCAATGCCAGTGAATGGGTCGCTTACTTCAGATAAACCCAAACTGCAAAGCATTATACAATAAAACTAAAATTGTATTTCATATAAGAGTAAAAACATTTTCAAATTTCCTAAGAAAGGTCTGCAACCAGAGGCTATTCCTAGATTGTAAAAGAATGCACTTTTCTTACTTCTAACTCATAAGGGATCACCAGTATACCTAGAGTAGATGCAAAGACAAGCAAAATGTAGAAATTTTTATTAACAAGTATCCTAAAAATGTCACAAGGTCAGGACATAATTCCATGATAATGGATCATCTCTAAAATGTCATTCATCTAGTCCAGTGGTGTATCCCAACACCCCCAAAGACTGTGTCAGAGTCCCAGAGTAATGGCTACTGTGCAATAATGGGAGTAGAAGGAGGAGCAGAGTGGGGGAAAGAGACTGTGAGTTTGGGAAAAGAAAAATCCCAGGTGTTGTTGAAACTCCACATCCTCTTCTTACCTCCTAGATAATTACTGATTTTAGGCTCATCTTTCTAGCACAGGGGTCTTAAACTTCAGCATGCATCAGAACCACCTGGAACAGGAGGAGTTCCATCGGGTTCCCAGGTGAGGTTAGTGCTGCTAGCTTGGAGCCCACATGTTGGGAACCACTCCTCCATAATATTAATCCTTACCAAGCCTCTGCTTAAATATCTCCAATCACAAGGGACACTGAAGTGAAATTAACACTACCCACTTAACAAAACAGGAAATTACCATTTCATTCACTGACGATGAAGAAATGCTGCCAAATGTTAAGTAAACACACACACACACAAGCGTGTGCACACTTTTTAATAATACATTCTAAACATGTTTACTTTTGAAATAAAAACAACAAAAGTGCTACAAGTATAAAAAAGTTAAAGGCAGACTCTTTCCATATAATTACCAGAAAGGCCAATTCAAAACTATACATGTGCAATGTTTATGCCTCATCAGAAGAAAACCCCTGCAGACCCAGAAGCTAATGTACAGGTTCTCCACAAATGTTGACAGCCTGAGTCTCCGTTGAGCTCATTTAGCTTAACAAGTCTCTAGCTACAGTTCACAGTCAGAAGCAAAGATCAATAAAAGCTCCATAATGTTTTTCCATTAGTCTCCAGGCTTTCTTTGCACAAAATGATAAAGGATGAACAAGGGTCAATAGTGTGGTAGACATAACTCATGCCTGCCTGCTCATTAGAGTTCACTACAGTTACCAAGGCAGGCAGCACTTTTTAGGGGGTTTCTGTTTTTCTGAGGTTGTTTTAAGAGAGATTTTTTTCCTCCCTTGGTTTGTTACCAACTCCTTGATATGAAAGAGTCCTTTAAAACCTCTTGGCTTAACTTCCTGTCAGCATATTTTGCAAGAATATTTCCTACAAAGTTCTTAGGAGATGTAAATATGGCAATCTTCCAGATAGAGATGAAGACAAACTTTCAAGACTTCTTTCTGTCGAGTAACATTACCTGGCTCCCTGGCCTATTCCTCGTGTGACATGACCATTGTTTCAAATGAACCCTTTAAAATGAAGGGATCTAATGAAGGGAGCCAAGACTGCTCAACTAATTAATTTGCCACCACAAAAATAAAAGCTCCATGAAGGGAGGAAGTCAGCCTCTGTTTGCCACCACTGTATGCCATAGCAAGCACGGCTGGACATAAGTGCTGAATAAATGCGCCTGGATAAATTAGTCAATGAGTGAGACTCAATTTGTAGCTATAATACCATTTTTGTAACTTTTCAGAATTACTCTAACTAATATTTTCTATTGCTGAGCATCCCATGAGGCTGCAAAGACACAAGTTTTGGCTTCAGATCATAAGCAACTGTGTGTTTTACCTAACATACTTGACAGTGATATCAAGGGAACACTTCAAAATAGCAGGAGAAACTAAAAGTATGTTAAGCCATAGTTGCAAATATGATACATTACTTGTTGGTGTTGTGAAATTCTTTGAATTTTTACTTTTAGTTGAACCCTAACAAAGCTCTCTCTATATGCAAACATGAAATTTACTCAGAAAGCAAATTGGAATTTTAGCTAACTCATTTAATCTTGGATTGTAATTTTACTACTTAAAATCTTTCATTAACAACTTCACTGTTAAAGAAGAAAACTAATAACCACTGAGCACCTGTTATGTGCAAAGCAATTGAAAAGGCTCCTTTGCAAGCATCAATCTTATTCATCACATTTAACAGGTGCTATATCCAGGTAATCTAGATATCTATTGAAATCAAGAGTAAGCCAATCTGGTAATTTGTGTAATAAATTTAAATTAAATAATGTAACAGCTATAAAGTTAAGAGTAAATCTCTAACACCTAACACAAGCCTTCATACGTGTGTTAAATGACTAAAATTGGAGAAAATAAACATTGACTTTAGTAGATAGGAGTGGGAAGGGTATTTCCACGTCTAGTCAGGAATACTGTCTGATATAACTGAAGAATGACAATTCAAAGTACATTGAGTATTTCCTCATGGACAAAAGTCAACCAAAAGGACTGCAAGTGACTTTTTAGTAGGTTACAGGGAGGTTAAGGATGGTCATGCCACTCTTTGCAGAAGGTCAGGAAGTCTAAACCCTCCCCCAAAGCACAAAGAGGGCTCAAAGAAGAGTGTAATGTTTACCAGAATGGTTGAAAAGCAGAGCAGCACGTGAGCTCATCCGCCACTAAACACTCAGTCCCATCTCTTATTCTCTAGCCTGTCTCTCTCCCTCGCTAAGCAACTTCTTATTCTTCTTTTTATTCTGAAGGAGAAAGATCTGTTTTCATCCCTTCTGGTCTTTTGATGTCCCATATTCTTCTTTCTCCTTCCTTTTCCTTCCCCTTTCTCCCTCCTAGTGACCATAATGAAGAATTCAAGTCCTCACTTTCATATAGTTCTTGATTAAAAATTTTAATAGTTCTCTCTCAAGAATTCTTCAGCTTTTGTATATGCTTCAGTCTGATTTAAAACTTCCAAATGTTATAATAAATAAAATTGTCCTGAAATCTGCTATGTCCAGTAAATCTTTCTCTAGGCCTTCCTGAAAGATCACGGTAAGATAGACTCATGAAAAGCATGCTTTTCACACACCTGTGGAAGGAGCACACACTGCAAGAGGATTGTATCCAGGAATGCATGGCCACCTGTGAAGCCAATAACTGAATTTAAGAAAGACACTATAAAAGAAAAATCTCTAGAAAATTTGGTGCAAATAAAATATACTGCCATTGAGCTGTAACATGACTCTTTCCTCAGGCTGATATATTGTTTCAGCATAGAGAACAAAAACGTAAGGAAGAAAAAGCATTTTTAAATTAAAAAAAAATTGTCTTAATATAGAACATTTTTCGAAAGTAAACAGAAATTTCATCCTGAGTGCTCGTTTTGTTTCAGCTATTGATCCATCTGTTAATTGCTCCTTCTGTTGTTATTATTGATTTCAAAATCAGGAGGGCTTACCATTTCTTCGTTTGTTCATCCCTCAAATGCCTGTGGGGAAACAGAAAACCAAATATCACATGTTTTCATTTATAAGTGGGAGCTAAATCTTGGGTTCACATGGACATAAAGATGGGAACAACAGACACTGGAGACTCCAAAAGGAGTGAGGAAGGGGGACAAGGGCTGACAAACTACATATTGGGTACCATGTTCACTATGTGGGTGAACATGATACCCAGTAGAAGCCCAAATCTGAACACCATACAATATACCCTTGTAGCAAATCTGAACATGTACCCCCTGAATCTAAAAAAAAGAAGAAATTAAAATAAATAAATAAAATGGGAATTCATTTTTTAAAATGCCTGTGGGGGATAGGGGCTGATGGGGGAGAAGGAAAGGAGGTATCTGCTTGTCTCTGCAGATTCTAAACTGAAAGACAGTCAAATGCCTCAAAAGAAAAGACTTAAATGTTGATGTACTGTTGACTGAAACTACTTGCCCTGCTTATAACCATCAAAGAACGGAAGCTGTGCTCCAAGGTTCCTTCCAGCTTCAGGGTTACTATCAGATCCTGCTATGGTTCCAAATTCACAATTTTGTTAATTGATTCTCAAAATTAAGTCCTTTATTGCTAAATCCCATAAGAACAACTCTGGCTCTGTTCTCCTGAAACTTTAAATAGTCTTAGTCCTCAGAAGGACTTAAATTCATGTTGTCATTCTTACAGCCTACAAAGACCTCTCGAAGATACTTCTCAGCATGCCCTCCACTAAATTGTGTTGCATCCACACAGCCACCGCAGAAAAATAGCTTTCACCTTGAAAATTAAAAGCCACACCTTGGAATTGATCACATATTATTTGCTAATGGTTTGAGGAAAATGCCTACGTAACTTATTCTTCAAAATTGCATCTCAATTTTCTTAACAACAACAGTGATCTAATTCCTTTCAAGAAGCTATGTGCCTACTTGAAGCTAAGATTAAAAATTAAACCCTTCCAATTTTTATCTAATTTTCTTCTGAATTAAATTTGGATACTTACTATGGAAATGCAGCTTCATGACAAAAACCTTGCTTTCTACTATCTGCCATCTCTCAGAAACTTTTAAAAAGACATGTGAAATCACTCTATTTCCTCCAAATAAACTGAATTATCAATGTTAATGGGAGACAGGGATAAGGTAAAATAAAGCTCAAGTAATTAAACTATTTTATTGTAAATATTCATATTACCTCCGAGCTAATTTTTACTAGAGGTGCTGGCAAATTCAAAACAAAATAAAAATTAGTTTCAGATTACTTCTTACTCACTAGCTAGGTGACTTCCTAACCAATCAACTTACTCATTCTCACATCAAATTCAGAATTCAAGCTTGTGTCTCAGCAAAATTACAAATTTAATGGACCTCTAGAATGCTTTAAATATAGTGGAACCACAAATGTTACATCCACATATGCCAAGAGTTTATTTTAAGGCCTTCATCACTTAATGATGAAGTCATTGGTTTGACTCTCAGACAACTGATAGGATAATAAATATGTAGTTAACATTAGTTCAATTCACACCTCATCTGAAAGATCTTTTGTTTCACTCCCATTTTAGAAGTCCTCTGCCCCTCTACCTATATTTCCCACAGGTTTTAACCTGGCTCCCGTAAGGAACACTTCTGGGAGTATTCAGTTATTTCTTTTTTAACCATTTATAATTGAAAATTTTATGGGTGTTGAATCCAGGCAGCCATCATCATTCACCCAGTTCAGATCTAAAAGGTTTCAGTCAACCACAGCAGCTCCTGTGGGCACAATGTCTGAAACCCTTGATAATAAGCATCTCTCTTCTTGCACCTCCTGTTTTCATCATCAAGAAATTCTCAATAGGCCTCATTTCCCCCTGTGAATGAGAGTTGCATAATCAATAACATCTAGCCAGTATAGCACTCTCCTCTTGGTCCATTTGGTTGCCTCACTTTGACAATGCCATTCTGATTTATAAGTGTTCTCAGTAAATGCTAGTTATCCATACCCTGCACTCCTTTCAATCATGGTAATTTAACACCAGTTTCATCCCCTTAGGAGTTTCTCTATTAAGCACCCTGCCAGATGTTTAACTGGATGCTCAATCTAAATCCTGCAGCACAGACCACATCCCAGGAAATGTTAACTCATTAAAGAGATTCCTACCTTTGAAGCACAAGTGGAAAAGGGAGTTTAGAAAATTTGCTACATCTTTAGCTTCATCTTTGGGAGTCTGACCTTAACTTTCACTAAGTCAAGATTCTGGAATATTCATGTCAATGCCATTGATATGTGGCATGGAGATAATTCTTAAGTCTCCTTTTCAAACACTTAGCTAATTTAGAAGTTCAAGAAAAAAGTACATTTCCTAACTGAAAGCCTTTTTTAGCCCTAAAAAAGGTGGATGATATGACAATATACATTTGTATATGATCCAATAAAAATCACTTAGTTCCACCCCCCTTTTTTCCCTTTATCTTTCTCATGTCTTTCTTGACTTAAAGGCTTTTAGAATTAATGTATCACTGGGGGAAATGTTGAGTTGTGCTCTAATTTTATATTTGACATTGACTGCATATCTTTGGCGATGTCAGTTAACCATCTTGGCTTTAATATATTATCCATAATTTACCATTCTTATTAAATGGCATTAATATATGTTGTTTTCTTAATGGAATGCTGTAATAAAAAGGAGATGATACTGTCAACTTTCTATGGACATGAAAGATATTTTTTGAACTCACCTCGATAAGTACAAATATTGCCAGCCACAATTCAAGACACTAACCCAGACACTAAGCTTGGTAGGAGGGATGCAGGGTTGACCAAGACATCGTTCCTGGACATCACTAAGCTTCATTTACATTTGGAGTTTTAAAAAACTTTTAACAAAAGAAATTCAAGACTTGTACACTGAAAACTACAAAATACTATTGAAAAAGATAATAAAGAAGATCTAAGTAAATGGAAAGCCCTCCCATGTTCATGGATCAGAACACCTAATATTGTTAAGGTGGCATAATCCTCAAATTAATCTATAAATTAAATCTGTATTACAGGATAGTAATACCTATCAAAATTCCTGCTACCTTTTTCACAGAAATTGACAAGATGATCTTAAAATTTATAAGAAAATGCAAAAAATAAATAATAGCCAAAACAAGATTTAAAAAGAAGAACAAAATGGAGGATCAACACTTCCAAATTTCAAAACTTATTAGAATAAAGCTATAGTAATCAAAACAGCATGGTACTGGAATAAGGCTAGATAGATAGATCAATGGAATAGAATTGAGTACCCAGAAATAATTCCCTACATTTATGGTCAATTGATTTTGGTAAGGGTACTAAGACAATTCAATGGAGAAAGAACACTGTTTTCAACAAACAGTGTTGGAACAATTTGATATCCACATGAAAAAGAATGAATTTGGATACCTACCTGACACCATGCACAAGACAACTGAAAATGGATCACACATCTAAATGTAAGAGCTAAAACTCTAAAATTCCTAGAAGGAAACTAGAGGAAAATCTCTATAATTTGGGATTAGGTAATAGTGTCTTACATAAACACCAAATTCATAAGAGACCAAAGGAAAAAAAGAGATAAGTTAGACTTCACCAAAATTAACAACTTGTGTGTTTCAAAGGACACCATCAAGAAAGTGAAAAGACAGACCATAAGATGGGAGAAACTCTTTGCAAATCATATATCTGACAGGGGACTTGTACCCAGAATATATTTAAAAAACTCTTACAACTGTACATAAAAAGACAAATATCCCAGTTTAAAAATGGGTAAATAATTTGAATAGACATTTCTCCAAAGATGTACAAATGACCTATAAACACATGGAAAGATGCTAAATATAATTATTAATTAGAAAAGCATAAATGAAAACCACAATGAGATACCACTTCACACCCATAAGAATGGCTAAAATCACAAACAATAACAAGCATTGGTCAGGATGTGAAGAAGTTGGAACCTCATACATTATGCGTAGGAATGTAAAATGGTGCAAACACCTTGAAAAATAACTTGGCAGTACCTCAAAGTTAAACACAGAGTTATCATATGACCCAGCCATTCCACTATCATATCTCATATACCTAAGAGAAATGAAAACATATGTCCACACAAAATGTTCTTAGCCACATTACTCATAATCACCCCAAAGGGAAAACAACCCAAATGTCCATCAACTGACGAAATGGATAAACAAAATATAGGACAGCCACACAATAGAATACGATTCAGCAAATAAAAAGGAATGAAGTACTAATACATATTACAACATGAATGACCAGAGTAGGGAATGGATCCACTCACCTCCCAACTCCAAGCATGAAGGTAGAAACTTTTCCATTTCTTATTCTTCATTCTGTAAATATTTTTTGAGCACCCACTATGTGCCAGTTGCCCTCCTCAACAGTGAGCAGAAAATATTATGCTAAGTAAAATAAAACAGTCACAAAAGGCGACATATTGTATGATTCCATTTATATAATATGTCCAGAATAGACAAATATGTAGAGACAGCAAGTAGATTAATGGCTGCCTAGGATTGGCAGTGGCGGTGGAAGAACGAGAAGTGACTGCTAACAAGTATGGGGCTTCTTTTTCAGGTCATGAAAATGTTGTAGACTTAGATAGTGATGATGGTTGCACAACCCTGTGAATGTACTTAAAACCACTGAGATGCTTCTCTAACCTCCCCGAATCCTCCCACCAAGTCATCAAATAAATTTAAAGTACAGATCACTAGATGAGATGAAGACTGGGACAGAACTATCCATGAAAGACCATGGTTTTACTTCCAGTTGCCACTCTGTTTCCATGGGCTTCTTTTCCTGTTGTTTAATCTTGACATCTGAATTGTCTTGTTGCCTTATCTTCTTACTTCTTACTTTCATTCTGGATTTGCTCTTTTCATCCCTAATAGCAACCCTGACCTGAAAGTTTAATTTGACAGAAATTAAAATAATACCTTCACAACGAATGCCAAATTCTCCACAGCAAAATGTCACTACGCTAGAGTTGCTATGAATTTTCATAATACATAAGGGAGAAAGATGTTTTGCTGGAGGTGAGTGACAACTCACCCAGTGGAAATATAAAATGATGGGGCGGCTTCTTCTCCATCTCATTATACAGCTATTCATCATACCTGAAGAGTCTTACTCCAAGTGATTCAAGATAAGAAAACTAGTTAGGGAAGATGGTTGCTAAATCAAAAGCCTTCAATGAAGCAATAAATCTCTCAGCAAGGACAGGCAAAGTAAGTTTGTTCTGAGCAGAGACACGGTCACGTGTCAAAACGCAAAGTAAAATGGTTGGATCATCAAAATTGCGGCCACTTTCAACTTAATCTGTAGTTCAAATATAGAGAGTTCTGTCATTATCATTAATATCTCTCTTTCTCATAAATTGGAATTTTTTTCTTTTTAAACTAATCTCTACTTTCAAAACCTTAAGATTCTTTTTTATCAACCACTGTTTTAGTAAAAGTCTTTTAACGAGATGGGGGAAATGCAGTGTTCTGCCTCTGAATATGTGATGTTGAAGTAAATGTATTTTCTGTTGGTCTGGAACATTAGGGTAAATAAATGGATTTCACTGAAAAATAGTTCATAGAAAACACAATTGCAGGCTGGGCCCAGTGGCTCATGCCTGTAATCCCAGTACTTTGGCAGACAAGGCAGGTGGATCACATGAGGTCAGGAGTTAGAGACAAGCCTGGCCAACATGATGAAACCCTGTCTCTACTAAAAATACAAAAATTAGGCGGGTGTGGTGGTGCAATCCTGTAATCCCAGCTACTTGGGAGGTTGAGGCACGAGAATCACTTGAACCCAGGAGACAGAGGTTGCAGTGAGCCGAGATTGTGTCACTGACTCCAGCCTGGGAGATAGAGCAAGACTCCATCTCAAATACACACACACACACACACACACACACACACACACACACACACACACACACACAAATTGAATAAGTCATAGCCACTTGTCACAAAAGGGGAGGTAGGAAAGACAAAAGGGAGAGAGAAGGGGAGAAAGGGAGTGACAGAGGGAAGGGGAGAGGGAAGGAAGAAGATGCTGATTGTATTCCTGAAAAACTACTTTAAAACTATTATTATATAAATAAAACATACTTAAAAGTAAAATAGAAGCATTAAGCATTTTCTAGGGGCCAGATACTGCCCTAACTGCTTTACCTGTGTTATCTCAAACTCTCAAAACAATAGTAGTGAACGCTTACAGGGCATTTGCTCAATGCCACCTACTCTTCTAAATGGCTTAGATATACTAACTAAAATAATTCAATACTGTTTTTATCCTTCATGGCAGATAAGGAAATTGAGGCTGAGGAGAGTTTAAGTAAGTTGCCCTCATTCATACAGTTAAGTGATAAAGCTAGGATTTAAATCTGGTAGGTCTGGCTCCAACATCTATTCTTTTAACTAGCACAGCACAACCATCTTCTCTGAGAAAAATATCAGGAGAAGTGATATATGAGTAGTCATGGAGAAATAATTTAAAGTGAGTTAACATAGTAAAGGGTAGAAAAAACAGCAAAAACAACAACAACAAAAAAGTCTTTGGTATCCAACTCGTAAAGTTGTGTCACTTTAGAAGGGTTCCAACCTCTCTGATTCTTGGTCTACAAAATGAGATACAAAGCTCCTACCCTCCAAACTTGCTGTAAGATTATTTGTGAAAATTTTGTGATAGTAGTTTAATAACTGATAGTCATTATCATCATTATTGTCTGTATCATTATTATTCATCTTCTTTTGAGCTTGACAGAGTTAAAACACTCAAGTCACTACCACTTTCCTGTTTTGTTTCTTTTTTTTTTGAGATGGAGTTGTGCTCTTATTGCCCTGCCTGGAGTGCAATGGTGCGATCTCAGCTCACCGCAACCTCCGTCTCCCGGGTTCAAGCAATTCTTCTGCCTCAGCCTTCTGAGTAGCTGGGATTACAAGCATGCACCACCACACCCGGCTAATTTTGTATTTTTAGTAGAGACAAGATTTCTCCATCTTGGTCAGGCTGGTCTTGAACTCCCAACCTCAGGTGATCCGCCCACCTCGGCCTCCCAAAGTGCTGGGATTACAGGCGTGAGCCACTGCACCCTGTCTGTTTTGTTTCCTTTAATCCAAAGGACTAATTAATGAAGAAAATAAAATTCTATTTTGGTACAGGAAAACTAAAGCAAAAGAATTGATAGTAATGGGGGATATCACATGCATCTTTGTAACAATATAGCAGTGAAGGGAAAAATATTTTCCATTTTACAGAGAAAAAATTGCCTACTTATTCTGAGGGAAAAAAAAGGATAACTATAAGATTATTAATGGGGCTTTCCTTATACCAGCCAGAAGGAAAGTGAGATTCGTTCCTTTATTGATAAATGTATTCCAGTAATTTATTCAAGATCTTAGGTTTAACCATGATATGGTCCAGTTATGTAGGTACCTGGAACAACCTCTAACTCCAGGTAACCAATTCATTTACTGATGCATCACTGAGCATAAGAGTGCAACATAATGCCCAGCAATAGATGAATGGACAAGCAAAATGTCGTATACATATAATGGAATATTGCCTTAAAAAGGAAGGAAATTCTGACATAGGCTGTAACAATGGTCCCTAACCTTTTTGGCACAAGGAACCTGTTTCATGGAAGACAATGTTTCCACAGACAGGGAGGTGGGGAGGGGAGGAATGGTTTCAGGATGAAACTGTTCTACCTCAGACCATCAGGCATTAGTTAGAGTCTCATAAGGAGTATGCATTCTAGATCCCTCACATGCGCAGTTCACAATAGGGTTTGCACTCCAATGATAATCGAATGCTGATGATGATCTGATGATGGGAGGCAGAGTTCCAGTGATAATGCTCGCCCACCATTCACCTCCTGCTGTGCAGCCCAGTTCCTAACAGGCCACAGATAGGTACTGGTCCAGGGCCAGGGATTGGGGATCCCTGTGCTACAACATGGATAAACTTTGAGAACAGTTTTCTAGTGAAATACCCAGCCACACAAATACTGTATGAGTACACTTATATGAAACAGTTAGAGTAGTTAAAATCATAGAGATAGAAAGTAGAATAGGTGGTTGCCAGGGGCTGCATGGAGGGAGGAATGGGGAGTTGTTGTTTAATGGGTACAGAATTTCAGTTTTATAAGATGAAAAGAATTATGGAGAGAGGTGGTGGTAATGGTTGCAGACTGTTATGAATGTATTTAATACCACTGCACTGGACATTTAAAAATGGTTAAGAAGTTAGCTAGTATACCAGAGGGGCATAGCTACTTGCTGTTAGAACATGTAAACTCCATTAACATATGACAATTCCCTCAAATACCCTTCAAATTCTACTGAATGTTAGGAAGAGTTCTACTCTGGGGGAGTAGTAGTATCTTTAGGGCATAAAAAATAAATAAATAGTGTTAATATAACAAGGTTTAAAAGAAATAAGCAAGGGTTAATCTGCACCTTATGAAAGCAAACCAAAAAAAAGTAAATAAAATTTGCCTCAAATTTCTGTTTATACTTTCAAATATCCTCATGGATTACTCATTTTATTTCTTTTTTCCCCTCTGAAAATGAGATCAATAAAAGAGGATAAGAGTTGCTAAGCCAGGATATTACCTAATACAATTAAGTGGAGCCTCACTCTTTTCTCTTAACTCTGTTGACTTTCCATTGTCTTCTTTGTCTTGCCCAAATAGATATAGCTACACCAAAATGGATGTTGTATGTAATAATAATGTAATATAGAAATAATGTTTTTAAAAGACTGCTTTAGAATAAATGATGCAGAAAATCTTTTGTTAAACTGGTCTTATTGCTACTCCTCAGCTCTATAGTGGTAGATGGGGACAGGCTTTTTAAGGGAAAAACTTGTGCCTATTCTGATAAATCTCTTATTTTTGTTAGTGATTAATGGGGACATCAACATTAAGTCCCTTAATGGAATGCTGTTTTTCCAATTTTTAGAATAAACTACTGATTGTCATTACTGATCATTAATAATATGGTCTTTATTCTAACATTAAATTTTACAAGTGTTTCAAGATTAGGGTCTTTCCCCAGTGAAAGACTTCAGTCTAAGCGTATGCATACTTGTTAAACAGGAATCAGTGAGTTGGGGAATGTAGCTCATGCATAGTTTCATAGGAACTCAAAAAAAATGTGGTAAGCAAAAATAAAGGGGGGAGCAGGCAGGAAGGAAGGAAAGAAAGAAGAAGCAGGCCTCATTTTTGCCATTTACACCTTGTAGAAAAGGGGCTAAGTTATTTTTAGATTTAAGAGGATCTTTCCAAAGCAACCCAAGGGTACTCAGTAATGATACTTGGATTTCTCTGATTGCTGGTAAGTCATGGAGTAGGCGCATGGTTTACTGAAAGGAAGGGAAGAAGGGGTAACATCCCAGTGACAAAATGGAAGGAATGTGAATAGCCAGAAGAGAAGTTACTAAAAGATGGCAATAAAGAAAGGCAGAATGGGGTTCGGGGTTCAGCAGGAACCATATGATGAGTACTTTGTAAATGACATTTCATTTAATTTTCAAAAGAACCCTATGAAGTCAATATTATTCCTACTTTATAATTGGGAAAACCAAGTATACTGATACAGCTAATTGTCTCAGACTACAGAACTGATTAGTAGAAAGAGCTAGGACTTGAATCCAGAGCTGTTTTTCTTCAAAGTCCATATTCTTTTCACCATGGTCAGGTTTGGAAGCTTTAGAAAAACTCACATTTTATCCTTGAATTTTCATCTGCTAAAAGTAAGATTACTCTCAGCAAATGCATGAAAGATTGGGTAGCTGACTATGGGTCATTTTAAGTGGATTCTCCCATCAACTCCTTTCTTCTTCCTGATATTGTAGACTCCAGAGACATCCCAAAAAAACCTAAACACAGTTTTACAAAGTGGACCCATTCCTTTCCCAATAATATCTGTCTCCAAACATCTCAGGTTACCTAGGGGAATACACACTAGTGATGATTACTTTTGAAAGTTTTCTACTCCAGCAGTGTGTTTTTTAGTTATGCGATAGAAACTTTAGGATACTGATGATGAAAGGCCTGGTTCAAAATGATCAGTTGATACAATTATCATTACTTTATGTTCTTACACTATTATATTCTTAACAATTCTGCCTGGTTCTTCAAATTTCATTCACCTCTGCACAAGCTGTAGTGCTAACTAATTATTATCTCACAAGTTCCAGTAATCAGAACAAAAGAAGATGCCATCTCATGCACAAAAAAATATCAATTGAGGTGCTTTTTAAATTTTTTAATATCTTCCTTATCTGTGGTTGTATGCCACCTTTCTTTCCTAATGTTATCTGTATCTTCTCTGCTTCCTGATCTTTTCTAGATTTATTTCTTGATCTTTCCAGAGAATATTTTTTTCTTTTCTTGATCAAGTCTCCTTTTTCATTTTTGTTTTTGTTTTTTACTTTCCTACTTTATTATTTTCTGCTGTTATCTTTATTAGTTAACATAATTCTTTCACAATTTTTTCTAAGTCTCCTTGTACATTGTTTTGCAATAAAGACACTTAGTGTGTAATTTCATAGATTGTTTGGCTTTTCTGTATTCTCTCAATTTTGTTATGTAGGGTTTTTGTTTTTCTTCTGTTCCTAAAGAGTTTGTAATTTTCCCATTTGTGCTTTTTAATACAGATTCAAAGCATCTTTAAATTTCCAATAGTATATCAATCAGGGTAAATGTTTGTTGTTAATTTTATCCTTATTGTATTTTGATGGATGATGTGGTCTGTATGACTTCTGCCTTTTAAAATGTGTTGACCTAAGCCTGGACATCAAAATGAGACCCCTTCTCTAAGGAATTTAAAAAATAGCTGGGTGTACTGGCACGTGCCTGTAGTCTCACCTACACAGGAGGCTGAGGCGGGAGGATCACTTGAGCCCAGGAGGCTGAGACTGCAGTGAGCTGTGACTGTGCCTCTCCGCTCCAACCTGGGCGACAGAGTGAGACCCTGTCTCCAAAATAAAAATAAAAATAAAAGTGTTGACCTATAGTTTGTGATCTAGTTAAGTTTCGAGAATGTTCTATAGTTGTATGGAAAACATGTTAATATGTATTCTCCGTTTGGAGGTGCTAAGATATTCATAAAGATGTTCCTGTGTGTGGTTATAATACGTGTATGTTATTTAAGATTATTTTTAATGGTCTGAATACATCTGCCAGCTGTGCCAGTTTCCCCCAACCTCCAGTTGGAGTAGTTGCAAGGTCTCATATCCATTTCACAAACCTTTGCCAAGAAGGTCTATTTCTATATTTCCACAAATGTGCAATCACAGTATGGAGGGTGGAGTGTCACAACTAAGTGGGGGTAAATAGATAATGAAAAATAAGATTTACCAGTGTAAATAGAATTGGCCTCACCAACATGGCCTTGGTAGTCCCCGCCAAGTCCTTTCTTAGGGTTTCTATTTCCTGATCTACATGCCCTGAGTGGTCATATCTACCCTGCCAATATTGCAAGGTGTGTCGCGAGAAGCCAAAAGATAAGGAATGTGACCAACATAAAGTGATAAAGAAATAAATAACACTAGCAGTGGTTGCTGCTATTTAGACACGGGAGCAGAAGGAAATGATAACTACGTAAAATGGCTAACACGGGCCCAAGCAGGTGCTCTGTTTCTATTGGTTCCCTTCCCTGCCCCCATCTACCTTTAGCTTCCTCTGGGGACATCCTCCCTCCTGCATGGAGACACCACCGCCCAATAACGTGAGCCTCCCTCTTCGTAATAGCCCTGGCAGTGTGGAACCCGCTGAAAGCGCGTTGTGAGGATGAGCAGAGACCTGCCAGCAGCTAAAATTCGCGCTTTAACACAATCAGCCCTGGCCGAGCATGTGCAGTGTCTCCTCCTTCGGCAGTGGGGGCTGATGGGCAGATACTGCCCAAATGCTCATTCATCAAAAGAGGCTTTCGCTCCCGGACTCCCCTGGGCCTCGAGCAGAAAGCGTCTCGGCCACGGAGATACAGAACCGGGAGCCTTCAAGGTCCTCCGCCACTCTCAGCAAGCCCTGCTCTCGATGGAGAGGAGATCGCTGGGTGATGGATGTGGGCTTCCAGGGAAGGTGCTCGCGCTGGTCCCGAGCCCTCCGGGGAAGATATTCGAGCGCGGAGCGTAAGCGCAGGGCACGCCAGCCCCGGGAGCCGCGGGAGCAGGCGCCGCGCGTCTCTGCACCACCGGGCCGCCTCCCAGCCTTCTTTCCCCAGTTTGCCCTCCTGCCGCAGTCCGGGCCGAGATTAATTCTCTGCACTTGTGAGTGGGCACACACAAGTTCTCCGGGCACGATCCTTTCATCTATTTCCCTGGGGGAGTCCACCTTTTTAACGATTAACCTCCTAGCTACCGCGGGCAAGGTGGCAGGATGCGAGTGGGGCGGGGAGGGGCGTTTCACACGTTCAGAGGCACCAAAATTAGCTGCCAGTGCTAAAAGGCTTTGCTTTCTTCGGTTTTTGACAAATAAATGGGGTGGGATGCTTGCTTGGCCGCCCGCTGCCCCAGCCCGAGCCCTGGGCTCACTTAGCAGCCTGATGCCGAGTTTCAGACGCAGTCCTGCTGCGCTTACACCCGGGCTTCTTCGCCCCCTTGCCAAAGTCTGCAGCCCGATGGATGCTGGGCGCGGGCTTTCCCTGAGCGCTTTAACGCAGCTTAGGCTAAAGCCCCAGAGCTCCCACCTTCTACCTCCTGTTTATCCGCCCGCCCCTCTACCACCGCCAAAGGACGTGCCCCTTCAGTAGAGTCGGGGATCCCAGCCCCAGAGCGGGGGAGGGCGCCTCCCTATCCCCTCCTCCCCGTCCCCGCCTCGGCTCGGGGTTTTACTGCAGCAGCCGGAGGTGACAGCGACGCCTCAGCCGCCTCTGTTGCTCTCGGAGCCCCGGCTTCCCCTGCACCGGGAAAGCGCCCCCTCTCGAGAGGCTGGTCCCTGGAGAACTGCGAACGAGCTGCAGAAAACCAGATTTTAAAATGTAGAAGTCGTTGGGCTGCATTCCTCCGAGGACCAGTCTGATCGCCCAGGACTAAGAGTGGCAGCGTATGAGAAGTTGGGACCATAGAGCAAGGGGGGGAGGGGAGTGTTGCAGCAGGCATTCTCTTCTGGAAGGAGTCGCTGGGAGCAGTGCGGTTGGACACAAGTTTGCGTAGGAGTGTTTTCCTTTTGTCAATAATTAATCACCGGAATTAGCCAGGTAGAATTTGAGTTTTAGCAAGAGTCCTGAGGGCGGGGCCGAACACCTAACTCCGGGAGGCTCCCAGGCGCCCGGCGCAGTGGGAAGCTCGCAGCAGCTGGGGAGGAGCCAAAGCCTCGGCGCTCACCTAAGCCGCAGGGAGATACACCCAACTGGGAGGTAAGCATCTTCCAAAATACCTACTTGAACTGTTAAGTAGCTTTAGTAGGATAGAATTCCTGTCTCTATAGGAGGAAAAAATTAATACTGAGCTTTAATGCAATTTATCAGTTTATTATTTAACTGCATTACAATTTTCAGAATTGATGGATTTTTCCATTTACCTTTCACTATGTGGGAAACTAAGATGTTTCACTCAGTAGAAGCCAAACTTTAACACTGAAACTTTCCAAACTAAAAGAAGAGAAAATTTCTTTACTATTTTCACTATTTACCTTCGTGTAGTCCATTAACGACTCAGGAAAATATCATTGGGTTGTGCTTGGTTTCCTTCTTAAATATTCATCTTTACCTAGTTCCGTGCTCCTATACAATCCCTCTCTGCCCATAAGCTACTTAAACTACTGTACTTTAGGCAATAGTACACACAAGTCACCTGCCAAAAAGTGAAGAATTTCCAACAAGGAATACATTTTAACATTCTCTTGTAAGTATTAAGCAGTATGTATTTTCTCAAAGATACTTAAGTCATCCTTTATAAGTAACCAAACTTCTTCACCAAAAGACAGCCAGCTAGAGTTAGCTAAATAGTTAACTTTGCCATGGGGATGAAGAAGGTGGGGAAATGTTTAGAGTAGCATTTTAAATATGAGTTGGACTCCAGATTTGTTTCAACTAAAGTGACATTCAACTGGTTGGCAATTCACATATGAGCCCAGTCCACAATCACATAAGGAGTTTGAAGAATTGTTAAATGTAAGAACTAGCCCCAAAGTCCAAATAACTGCATCAGGGGAGTTGGGAAAATTGTTTTTCAAAAAGATTTTGTGGTGCAGTACTTATTTTGAATTAGACAAAAATTAAGAAAGACATGGTAATTTTTGCTAGTGAAATTCTAAAATGTATACATAAAAGTGTTGAATTTTTAATAACTTGATTTCCACATCTGAATTATTCCTATGCTGTTTAAAACAGGTCATTTCGGTGACTTTCTCAAGGGCTGTGAAGGCTTTGTACATAGATAACTAGACCAAAACCAACAAGCTGTAGTATGAAATGTACTGTCACTCTCATTATCCAGATATTTATTTACAACTATTTAATGATAATAAATTAAAAATTATTTGTCAAAACAAAGCATGGTCATTCTAGAATTCGACTAGATTTGAAGTTGAAAGTCGATTTGAAGTTGAAAATCAACCAGTCCTCAACTCTCATTGGTTTTCTTAATTCACTGTAAATTTGCAAATACTTTTATAAAAACTGCCCTTTATAATTGTACAGCAATTCTATCTCTACTATGCTAATTATAAAGAGAGTTTTGCCACTATCTTACCACCAAGTATAAAAGAAACAAAATATTCATAAAAAATGATCCAAATGGGACTCACTTCCAGAATGGTGATGTGAAGAGCTTTTCAAATCCACTCCCTAAAAACAACAATAACTGGTGAAAATTATAGATAAATAACCATTTAAAGTTCCTGGTAATTGTCCTAAGGACATACAGCACGAAGAAAATATTTATTCAAGACAATCTCTTATATTTCAGTAAGAACTGCAAACAATTGTGATGCTTGAACCACAATATATTTCCCCACCCTCTCCAGTTGAGTGTGATGATGTTCCAGTAAGGATGGGTGCAGCCACTAACGCAGGGCCCCCTCTCAACCTAGATCCTCGTCTACAGTATACCCTGAGAGAAGCAGGCCACCAGCATTACTCATCATCCCCAGCTTTGTGTTTCAGAGCTCTATTCTAGATAAGAGCAACTGAGAGTTCTGAGGCTCTCTTCCTCCAACCATCCTCCACTCTTAAGACAGAAAATGAAGAACTCAACAACAAGAACACAACTCATTTAAAAGTGGACAAAAAAATTTGAATAGACATTTCTCCAAAGAGCAGGTAGAAACAGCCAATTTACACATGAGAAGGTGTTTACTAGCCATTAGTGGTTGGGGAAATGAAAATCAAATCAAAACCACAGTACAATCCCACTTCACACCAACCGGAATGGCTATCACAAAAAAAAAAAAAAAAAAAAAAAAAGGAAAGAAAGAGAGACAGAGAGAGAAAGAAAGAGAAAGAAAGAAAGAAAGAAAGAAAGAAAGAAAGAAAGAGAAAGAAAGAAAGAAAGAAAGAAAGAAAAGAAAGAAAGAAGAAAAAGAAAGAGAAAGAAAGAAAGAAAGAGATAATAGCAAGTGTTAGAGAAGATGTAGAGAAAATTGAACTGTCATATATTGCTGGTATTGCTGGTGGGGATGGAAAATGGTGCAATCGCTATAGAAGAGAGTTTGATCGTTCCTCAAAAAGTTGAGAATAGAGTTACCACATAATCAAGCAATTCCACTCCTAGGCATATATTCAAGAGAATTGAAAACTTATGTCCGTTCAAGAACTGTACACAAATGTTCATAGTGGCATTACTCATAACACCCAAAGAAGCTGATTGAAACAACCCAAGTTGTTTATTGAATGATGAATGGATAAATAAAATGTAGTATGGAATGAAATGATAAAATATTATTCAGCAATGAAAATCATGTGGCTGATACATACTACAACATGGATGAACATTGAAGAGATTACGTTAAGTGAAAGAAGACCACATACTATATGATTTATTTACATAACATATCCACAATAGGCAAATCTATAGAGAAAGTAGATTAGTTGTTTCCTGAGGCTGCAGTAGAAGGTAAGATTAGGGGCCGGGCGCGGTGGCTCACGCCTGTAATCCCAGCACTTTGGGAGGCCGAGGCGGGCGGATCACGAGGTCAGGAGATCGAGACCATCCCGGCTAAAACGGTGAAACCCCGTCTCTACTAAAAATACAAAAAATTAGCCGGGCGTAGTGGCGGGCGCCTGTAGTCCCAGCTACTTGGGAGGCTGAGGCAGGAGAATGGCGTGAACCCGGGAGGCGGAGCTTGCAGTGAGCCGAGATCCCGCCACTGCACTCCAGCCTGGGCGACAGAGCGAGACTCCGTCTCAAAAAAAAAAAAAAAGAAGGTAAGATTAGGGAGAAAACGGGAGTGACTAAAGGGTACAGTGTGTCTTCTTGGGGTGATGCAAATGGTCTAAAATTGACTGTCATGATGGTTGCAATACTGTAAATATACTAAAAACCACTGAATTGTGTACTTTAAGTAGGTAAATTGTATGGTGAGTTTTATCTCAATAAAGCCGGTTTAAAAAAATTTTCCAGAGTATTAAAAGAACAAATGGGTTTAAAACTTAGAGTTGCTGAATCCGCATGTGCCATTTGACCAATAGTTTATGTGAGGCTTTTCCCCAATGACCACATTAAAATATATGAAATATTTAAGAATTTCACAGGTGTCACACAGCTATGTGATTCACATATGTTTACATGCCTGCCCAAACTTTTCTCCACTTAGAATTAAGTCAAATGTCATTAGTATAGTCCTACAAAGAATTTGCTTGCAATGCTATATCTTTTTGGACTCATCAATTCGTTATATTAATCCAGGACCTGTGAGGCCACTTGTTCCTCCTACTTCTAGATATGTCTAGTCCTTTATCAGTGATTCAGGCCAGCGGTTGAGTTTGTTCAGGCCCACATTGGGTGAGAGAGGAAGGTACCTGGATCTCAGCCAAAAGTGTACTTGCCTTCTACTCAGATTAACCCAGTTTTGCCTACACTAGACTGGCCCTAAAAGCCAGAGAGTCTTGGGAAGAGGAAAAGCTGGAGCAGCCACTGAAGTCTTCACAGCATACTAACATGTCATTGTCAGAAAGCATCTGCTGTGATTACGACAACCTCAAATGCAGGAGACTCTCCCAAATAATTAATATGTTCCTCTATTCATCTTTTATGTTTTGAGTTCCCACAAGCTGCCTGATCCTGTACTAAGAACCATGAAATCAAATGATAATGCTTCGTCCAGAAATGGAAATATAAAACTAGTGAGCCTCAGAGTGTCATGGGGGTGGCAAGCAGCCTCAGCCTTGCTGCCAGACAGTTATTAGTTCACTGAAACAAACCATACCCTTAGCTTTAGGGATTTAAGTCTACCGGCTTCAGGAAACCTCAAGATTTTCCATTCTCACCAGCACAGGCTTATTCTTTCATGTGTATGTTTTTGAGGAGCATATCATGCTGATTTGTGTGGGTTTTGACCATGAAAGCTTTTGTAGAAGTCCACTGTAATATTTTCTCTAATTAAAAGATTTATATAAAATAATTTTTAATGTCCAGCAATTTATTTATTTTATTTTTATTGATTTATTTATTTTGAGACAGAGTTTCACTCTTTTTGCCCAGGCTGGAGTGCAATGGCGTGATCTCAGCTCACTGTGACCTCCGCCTCCCAGGTTCAAGTGATTGTCCTGCCTCAGCCTCCCCAGTAGCTGGGATTACAGGCGTCTGCCACCACGCCCAGCTAAATTTTCTTGTATTTTAGTAGAGATGGGGTTTCACTATGTTGGCCAGGCTGGTCTCAAACTCCTGACATCAGGTAATCCACCCACCTTGGCCTCCTAAAGTGCTGGGATTATAGACGTGAGCCACTGCACCCGGCCCAGCCATTTGTTTATAAAATCAATACATGTAGGAAAAAACTTGATTATAGTTACTTTTAAAATATTGCTTTCATCAGGATTAATAATTCATTTATTCAACAGATTTTAAAAAAGATAAATGAATTATTGCACACCTACCCTGTACCAGGTCACTTCTAGGCCCTGGATAAGTAATAAACAAAATAGACAAAAATTCCCAAGATGTCAAACATTAATAATAATAAGTAAATTACATAATGTAGATAAGGGCTCTGAAGAAACATAAAACAGAGAAAAGAACGAGCTACAATTTTAAATAGTGAGATCAGACTAGGAATTAAGATCATGCAATTAGAAAAATGTAAAATCACATACAAACCTGGCCACTGTAACTCGCCAAAAGGACTACCAGCTCCCAGTTAATTTCTCTCTTCCCCTGGGAAGCTTTGGTTTCCCCTTGCCATTAGCTTCAACCACCAAGATTATTTTGCTGCCTATATTTGCTGTTGTTTCATCAGAAAAAAATAGTATATCAGCACAAAGGCCTTCCAAGTAAGCATAAGGAAGACAGAACCCAACACCTGCTCTCGCGAATTACAACCTATGTAAATCACTGCATTATAATAACAAAAATTGCTCAAAGAAATCATCAGCCTGGGCTTTCAGTTTACTTTTGGCCTCTTCCTCTAGCTTTGTCCTGGATTCTTGTAGTCTTCCAGAGAATTAGTTTGCTTTTGGTCTCTTCCTCTAGCTTTGTCCTGGATTCTTACAGTCTTCCAGAGAATTGTGTGGTAAATAATTAAGAACTAGTTCCCCAAAGTTAATACCGTTTGAAGAGTGAAAGTGTTGGGGAGAAGTAAGGTAAGAGAAATTTCCAGGCCATCATGCCCAGGTAAAGAGAGAACAAGTCTTTCAGAACTATGGAAAGTGAGCAGAGCATCAAATCCCACAGACCAACTGAAAAAAAGAGGGAAAAAGCAACCAGTCTCCACTTTACCAGATTGTCCCAGAATTCCTACTCAGGGCACTTGGTTTAAAGGAGACCTGAGGAGGTCTCTTTCTAGTGAAATATAATGGGTGCCGCAGCTTTCTTGGACTAGAGCTTTTAGTAATGGCTTAAAAGGGAGCAGAGACCTGATTTTGTAAGTCAAAAGGATACATTTATTTCAGGCTTAGAGGAAAAGTGTTTAAGAATATTCAGAATAAAGATAAAGTTAGAAATAAGTCAAAAGACCCCCTGTCACAAGGGAGTTATTATGGAGCATTAGAATTCTCATTCATTCATTCAACAAATTTTGATTGAGCAGCTACTATGTGGTAGGCACTTAGGTAACAAGACAGAAGAGGACCTTATTTCAAAGACCTTTCCTTCTGAGGATATGTTATATGCCTTTTGCAACAAAATGTCTGAGAACACAGGAATAAGGACAACAACTTTCTGATTTGCCGACCTGACACCTCCTCCAGACTGGATTAGAGTCTTCTTCTATGCCCCTGAGAACCTTACACTTCCCTATCATAGCATAAACCACACTGTGTGTGGATGCTTGCTTAATTGCTCCTCCTCTTCTCTAGAAAGCAGCCTAAGGACAGTGACCATGTCTATCTTATTGACAGTTTATATCCCTCCTACATCCTTGCTAAATACTTGACTGAGTGGCTAGCTGGCTGGAAGGATGGATAAATGATTTGTCAGGTATACAAGTAGTGCATCTCTTATATTGTTGTTAAGTGAGCTGCATAAAGTAATTCATATAAAGTGCTTATCAAACTTCCGAAACATAAGTTGCTCAATAAATATCTGCTACTATTATCAGTATAAAATGGCAGCTTCCAGGTGACAATTTGCCATTTAAGTATTGTATCCCTGCTCTTTCAGCTCCATTATAAGATCAAAGGTTGTCAATTAGTAATTCCAAGCTAAAGTTATCACTTTGAGTTCAATATCTATAAAAATATTAAAAAGAGAATTTGGGAATAAATGTAAATAGCCTATTGAACAAGAAAGTTAAAATGATTCAAAAAAAGAAAGAAGGAAAAAAGCGCAAGATGTCATGCCCAAAGCAACTTTTCTGGGGCAATAATACCACACTTACATTCCCCATATATAGCCAAAATATCAGTTCATGTTTACGTTCTGGAACATTCTAATTGTGCCTCATAGAAATAAGCACCAATGAATGTTCACTGATGAAGAAGTAGAAAATAAAGCAAAAAAAATTAAATAAATATATATTATATATATATGGATGCATCTTATTTGAAGCTTAGTCTTATCTAAACCTAAGGGTGTTGTATTATCTTTTTGTTTCTTTTGAAAATCTAATGCTTTTTCCTGTGTGTGACCTTTAATCAAAATTAGCATAGTGCCTCCTCATATGGAGTTATCTATTACCAACTAAATGAGATGAAAAGCTAACTTGTGACCAACATATGGAAACCCAGTAACTTTGCTGCTTTCTTCTACTTCTATCTGAGAGAATATGCTTGGGCTCTTCCCCTACCAAAGGGATCCTCATAGGAAATTTTAAATCTCGCTCAAAAACATTTTTGTTTTAATTACTCAGATAGCGACCTTTGATGACTGTGGGATCTCTGAATTGGGAGCCATCACACATGAAGGAAAGCATGTGATGCCTAGCACACATGCCCAGGCCCACTGAAAATAGAAGCTGTCCTGATCAACTATCCAGGCAGAACTTTCCTTTGGTCTCAAAATTATTCTGGCGTTGTTACTAGGCTATGACTGCTGTATATCTGTTTAGATAGAGAAATTTTAAAAAAAAGTAGTTTAAGTTTAATAGATTTAAACCTGCCACAGGATCTACACAAACATATATACATATTTTTTACTGCCTTGGCTAATAATCAGCAACTTAATGAAAAACTGAAGTATTTAACACTAGGATAGTAATAGCACTGAATTAGAGATTTTATGGATTTTTTTTTTCATGTACCATCTATACATCCTGTGTCATCTTCCCATAGACTGCACAGGGGTAGAAGTTTTTGTAAAGTGCCTAAAACAATGTTAAGCTTATAGCAGTGACCAATAAATGTTTGTGGTACGAATGGAATAAATCTTGAGGTACCTTGAAATTTAGCCTAATGCAATCAATCATTAGAAAGATGATTAGAAAACTGTGTAAAGATATTTAAAAATCCCTTTGAGCAAAATTAATTGAAAAAATCAGAATACAGAATTAAATACATACTTTGACTACAATCAAGTGTGAAAGTAAAACATGCATAGAAAAAACTCCAAAGTGTTAACAATATACAAAGTTTTTTAAAAATGGTAAAATTATGGTTGTCTATATTTTTCATAATATTTTATAATTTTTATTGTGATATCTCAGGGGATACTTTATTTCTATAAGAGCAGGTATGGTTTCAACAGTAGTTAAAACTATTAATAAACAAAGAAATTATTCTTTGTGATTAAAAACCAGTCTATTAGCATAGCAACAATATTTCTCTTAAAGTTGTCAGCAAAGTCTTCTGACTTAGCTACTATCTTTATCTGATCTACCTTCACTAATATTGAATTTAATATACAAAAGTCAGTATTTGTCACTCAAATAGTCAAGAAAATCTGATTAACTGTACTATTTCTAGAGACATTTTTTAAATGTATTATACTATTGATGGAGAAGCATTATTTGTCACATAACATAGAACCTTATCTCTCTAGTGAGGTTAAGAGTTAAAATAAAGAAATGTTTTTCCTAAAAAGTTTACATTTGGTCTTCTCTAAAATCTTTTAAGCTAAACATAATGGAACCAACATAATGGAAATGAAATTTTGAAATAAATAAATAACTTTCTAATCTAGTACTTAGCAATTGTAAACTCTTAAGAACATAATTGACACCTTATTTTAAAATGATAAATTAATTTGGTTACTTTTAAATTTACAAATGATATACATACATATTAGTGGATATAAATATATATATTTGTAAATAATACAAAGAAGCATACATTTGTACGTATTATTATTACTATCATATTGTATAAAGCTGCAACAGAAAAATTCAACAACTTCTTATAAGTGTTGTCTAAACTCTACATTTGTAATCAAACATAATATCACTACTACTCACTAAATTAGATACCGTAGAAAGTGCTTACTCAATTTTCATGGGCTTTATGAATAATATATGTTAAATAGCCCCAGTTCCTCTAACAATCCTTTAAATAAGTTATTTCACAGTCTGGTCATGCAGCTTTTTAATGTAATTATTTGTCATCATAAACAAGGCAACTGTTTAAGCAATAACAAGCTGTACCTTGATCATTCCCACTCTCACAGTTATCAATTTTGATTAGCTATAGATTCTGATTTGTTTCTTGTTTATAGAATCAAAAAAATAAATTCTTATATTTGGTGGGGAATGAGTCTAAAATAATCAATGCTGTGGAGTACAAATTTGATTTTTAGAAGGAAAAGCAAAAAGTAGTTAAGAAACAAAGTGAACAACTTAAAAAATTTGATGTGAACTCTTTACCAAAGGTCTGTCATGGGGAGGTGGAGTCGCAGTACATTTGTCCCTTAGCTCAATGCATTTGAAGTGGAAGATTCTTACTTAATATTTGGCAGTATGCTTGAGAGAACAGGATCTCATGTGTTTGATCTTTTTCTAAGAATAGTAAACTGCTTCTCCTTTATTAATTCACCCATTGAAGAGCAATTTTAAGTAAAATTGATTTAGGTTCACTTTATTGATAGAAAAATTAGGCATAGAAACATACATAACTGAGCCCAATAGTTCAGTTACTAACCCTTCTTACTCCTAGAGGCTGCAGATATCATGTCTACTCTGCGATGGAGAGCTTGGGCCTTAAAATTTTAGTAGGTTGTTTTATTGCCTAAAACTTTGAACAAAGAAAAAATAAATCAATCAGGTTGGCCTAGTTCTGGTTTTGATGGGCAGGAAAATCAGGTTATAATTTAGAACAACAACAAAGAAAAGCTGTTCCACAAGTTACCTCTATTTAGGAGGAAACAAGCATCAATGCAAATACAAAACAGTAACTCTGTGATCTGCTAACTTCCTTCGGGGTGAATTCTTCCTACGAGGCTCATGGGAGTTATCATTTCACCCACTTATATCACATGTCCCTGAAGGATTCAGTAGAATCACCTAAAAGGAATCTGTTAGATAAGAGGAAATAAAATGCATGTAGAAAATAGAAGGAACAAATAATAATTGTGACGAAAGTTACTATCTTTGAGCCTTTACTAAGACCAGTCATCACTAAGGACCTTTCACCAATGTTGCATTGTTTAATCTCCACAATAATGCAGAAATAATTGATAATCACCATGTTACTGATGGCATAACTAATGTTCAAAGAGGTTAAACAATATCCAAATACCATGCAATAGCAAACTCCAGTTTGCCAATTTCAAACTCCACACTTTTTTTAATATGACAAAAACATTTTAACAAAGTAAATAATTCTCTGGTGGAATATTTAATTCTACTGTAGAAATACTATCTTAGAATCGGTGAGATTTTAGTAATATCTTCTTAAAACCTGCCTCCTGATGCATAGCAACACTTAGAAGGTGTTGTCTAGCCTCTGCTTGGACAATTTTCCTAATGGAGCTCTCGCTACCTCACCACATAACCCATTCCCCTTTAGACAGCTCTGATTTTTTAAAGTTTTTCCTAAGATTCACCTCTGCAAACAAAACAACAGTTCCAAATCTTCTCCTCCATGTCAGCCTATAACACCCTTTAATACCTTTTAGATCTTTTAAGACTTCCATGACACATTCCTCCCCCCAAATCTTCTCTCAGCATTTCCCAGAGGAAACCTTCCAGGACTTCTCCATCTAGCTTTCTATGGATATGCTTAGCTTGCTGGAGTGACCATTTTAACAGCTAGAGGAAGAATGCTAATCAAAGCCAGAAGCCATATCCCCTTTTTCTCATCTGTGACACCATATTTCTATAGATATGTAAGAATATTGGACCGCTTATTTATTTATTTGGCAGTCATATCACAAAACTATTGGTTTAAAATGAACTTGAAGCCAATAAAAAATCCTTAGTATTTTTACTGGGACTCCTTATAAGCTAATTTTCTCCAATCTTATCTTTACCAATTGTCTTTTTGTATGGAAGAACAGGACCTTTTGATTTCCCCATTTTACCCTCAGAATCTGCAATCTGCTAAGTCTCTTATCCCCCTACACCATAACATGGGATCATCTGGAAATTTGATGATACGTACTTTTCTTAACTTAATTCATATGGACAAAAAAGCTACAAATGGTCAGGGCAAAGTGCAAAAATCTGGGGCTAACTACTGAAGACACACTAACCATCTTTATGATGCTTCACAAATTACAAGACATTTTCACAGATATTTTCTCATTTAATTCTCACACCTAATATATGCATAAGACAATATCACTGTTCTATATATGAGGAAAAAGACTGAGAAAGACTGTATGACATACCTGATGTTCCACATCAAATAAATGACACAATAAGATATAAGCCTTATTGCTTCTGACTATATCCAATGTGATTTTAAAGACAAATTTTTTATAGATAGTGACTAATCTAATCTCTTCCCCGTGTCCCCCATGGATATTCAGAGAGATTAATAAAGTCAAGAAATATTTTCTACAAACAAAATCTCACCCAAAAACTGAATTAGAGAGCAGATCAAAAGCAGTCTGCTCCAAAAGAAGTGAGGTGGGGTGTTCTTAGCCCCTCCCTTTGTCCCTCCTTGGGCCTCCCCTCAACCCTGGTACCTGTGGCACTTTATAGTCCTGATTGGGGAATCACTAGCCAATGGCATATCTTCAAACTGTGACCTTTTCTAAAAATAATTTTTCAAATAAGGCTGGCTTGTTGTGCCTTGTGTTTATAACACATTCTAGACTTTTGTGAGAGATTATCCATCTAGATGGCTTAATGACCATTTACATGGGACAGAATGGTTTTAAAATTTGAAGACATCTTTTGGTTTATTTAATTCAAATCTTTATTTTGCAGATGAGGAAACAGCAACCCAGAGAGGAGAACTAACCCACACAGGATCATTTCGTGAAGGAGCAAGGCTGAAGAACCAGACCTGGACTTTCTTAGGCAAGTAAATTCTGATTATATCACGGAGACTTGCTTTGAGAAATCTGCCCCTTTTCACTGTGAGATGGCGTCATTAACACATCTAGTTCTCTCCTAAGCAGCCAGCAAACATTTATTATACACTAGATATTATATTGGCATTTGAGATGATACAAAGGAATAAAATGGGGCAATTAGCTCTAGTAATTTGGAGGTCTCAACTTACGGATATTCCAAGTTCCTTTGAAACGTGTGCAGAAAAATGTTTATGCAAAATTTGCCTACATTGCAAGGGGTCCATAGGACCCTCCCCCCAAGTCCTTGACCTCCAGGTTAAGAACTCCTAGCCTAGAAGAGGCCAATCCCAGCACAAGTGCCAGTGTTAGAATTGCATAGCACTAGCTACTGTCTTATTTATGGGTCTACTGGTTAAAGGCTGCTTGTGTTTCGACATCCTTCATCTTTTATTTAAATGGAGCAGCATCTTACCCTTGAAGACCTTTGGTACAAGAGAGGAATATATGTTTTAATAAGCATTTAATTAACCAGATCAGACAAATTAAGAGAAAAATATGGTAAAATGAAAACACTATTTTCCAAAAATATTAACAATTAAAATGAAGATGCCTAATGTTTATAACAGAACATTAATTTTTTTCTGGTTCCTTTATTTTTAATAAAGAAAGAAAAGGAAATAGAATTACAAAAAAAACACCTAGATACTACTAGCTGCCTGTCCACTTTTATTCAATCTATAGTGAGTGACCTATAGTAAAAGTGACCTATCAGCCAAGGGTAGGGGATGTGGACAAAAACAAATAGATTTATCTTATGAATGATTGCTTCCCAATCCTTCCCCTTTTGCTACAGTGTTTTTGGAGATTTGTAACTCTGAAATGGTTGGCAATAATTTCTTCATTTCAAAATATTTTTGAAAGCTCAATATTACTTTAACATTATTGATAACAAGCCTTGATTTTACTAATTCAAAAATACTTGTAGGATGCCTGGCATTTGCAGAACACTGTAAGGTATTCAGCAAAGAACAGGTGCCATTGAGGTTGCTGAAGCCTGTTTGTCTGCTTTATGACAGCCACACCAAAATTGAATAAACATTCTGAAAAATAACCTCTCTAAAACTGGTTTTGAATTTAGTAACCAATAAAAGTCATATGCCCCACCTTAAAAATGATCCCATTCTCTTTCATTCTTTGCCTGGTAGTCATAATCTAGCAATACCATATTAGAATAGTGTGGTAGTAATCATAATAGCTAACATTCACTTAGCTCTTCCTATGTGTTATTCTAAATATTTTATACTTTTTAATCATCCCAGCATCTGTGTGAATGAAGTTATCTTATTCCTGTTCTCCAGCTGGAGAAACTGAGGGTCAGAGTGATTGAGTAACTTGGCCAGGGTCACAAAATTAGTAAGAACAGAGCTGGGATTCAAACCCAGACAGGACCAGAGCCCAAGCTTGTAACCACTTCACCGTACGACCTGTCAGCAGGATTCTCACCCAGCTCCCCACATGGCCCTCATGACACATTGAGCCTCAGTTTCCTTATCTTTAAAACAGGGATAATTTAAGTTAGGCATCTAGCCATTGCCTACCACACTGGTACTGAAAACTGCTGTTTCTGCCGGGGGCAGTGGTGCACGCCTATATTCCCACCTACTTGGGAAGCTGAAGTGAGGAGGATCACTTGACTCCAGGAGTTCCAGACCAGCCTGGACAACATAGGAAAACTCCATCTCCAAAAAAAAAAAAAAAAAACAAAAGTTTCTATTGCCTGCAAAGAGATCACATTATAAGATTCTACCATTTCTAAGGAAGATATCTGTATTTGCTTCCTAGGGCTCTTGTAACAAATCACCACAGATTTAGCGGCTTAAAACAACAGAAGTTTGTTCTCTGATACTCCCAAAGGCTAGAAGTCTGCAATCAAAGTGTTGGCAGCGCTGTACTTCCTCCAAGGGCTCTAGGGAGAATTCTTCCTCACCTCTTCCAGCTCTGGTGGCTTCAGGCATTTTTTTTTGGCTTGTGGCTTCCTAACTCTGATCTCGCCTGTCTTCACAGGGCCTTCTCTGTGTCTCTCTTTTAAAAACAGTTGTCCTTAGATTTAAGGCTAATCTGAGTAATACAGGATGCTCTTTTTTCAAGATCCTTAACTTAATTGAACTACAAAGACTCTTCTTCCAAAAAGGTCATATTCACTGCTTCCAAGACATGAACATAGGTTTTGGGCGGCTAATATCCGACTTACTACAAAATCCCAATATAAGTATTTTTATGTTTTGGAAGATTCCCTCTGGCCTTCGCCCTGACAACAAGCCAGCTTTATTCAGAGGGAGTAAATCATTTTATCTCACCACTCCTTTTCTTTGCACTGGAAGCATGTAGGTAGCCATATGGCTGGGAGCAGGTGAAGGAGGATGAACCCAACAGTAATATATCCACACTATTCTCAGGAGAATCAGAAATCCACTTGGCTAAATTGTCAATGAGAGTTTTTTCTTTTAGTATATCATTGCAGTAATTCACTTCTAAGTATAAGATTATAAAATCTAAGCGATTTATGTGCCTAAAGCAACATGTTTTCACTGAATACTCATGAATTTGACTATAAACTTCTACTTTCCCTTCTCACCTCCCCTCTGTCTCTGAAACCATCTAACCTGGAATACAGCAGTATAACCAACCAAGCAGGGAAATGTCCCTTGATTCAGGGGTTGGCAGAGAGAGCACCTTATCAACGCTATGCGTGTCTCTATGGCCTGATCCGCCTAGTTCTCCACTCTTTTCTTTTCCTTTTTTATTTTTATTTTTTTTTCTTTTTGAGACAGAGTCTTACTCTTTTGCCCAGGCTGAAGTGCAGTGGCATGACCACAGCTCAGTGCAGCCTCAACATCCTGGGCTCAAGCGATCCTCCCACCTCAGCCCCTCAAAGTGCGAGGATTACCACGCCCAGCCTCCACTCTTTTCTGTAAAAGCGCTAATAAGTGAGATGCAGAAGCAGGTCAACTGAGGGCAATGAAAGGGCAGCAGGCTAGATTACTACTGTCACAAAATCACATCTATGAAAGTTCAATGTTGTCAGTCACCAAAATAAGAAAAACACTGACCTCATCACCACAGCTTTCCAGATAATGTAATAAGAAATAAAGAATAAGCAGAAGTGGGAGAGACAGATAAATATGTTTTTTTAAAAAGTTGTATAAACATATCTATTCAATATTACCCAAAAAAGTGAAAAGAAAACAGACAATTAGTATTAGAAAACACTATTGGAAAGGTCTTGGCTGACCAGCTCCTTATACAACCAGATTTGCTTTGGCAGAACTCTGAGAACAACGTACTCCTGACAGATCAATATTGCAGTAACTCACCATTTTCACCCTCAAATTATTCACTGGATAAAAATCTTCAGTTGCTGAAGATTCATAAAATGTAATAACAATAGGTAGGGAAGAGAAAAAGGCTTAACTTTTCATGGTCAGGCTTCTAGCTCTTAAGAAAAACAAAGGCCTTAGAAAAAACATCAAGCAAGTCTTTCCTAAGGCAGTTAAGCATATCATAGAATTCACAGTTCCCACAAGTACTGTAGAAGATTAAGCTATTAGAATTTCACTGATGCCAGGAATAAACCTAAATATGTCAGCTGTCATCTCAAGAAGGTTCTTGGGGGTTTGGCTCTTCTGAGTTTTCCCCTTCTATTTTGACAACCAAGAAGGGAACCCCAATTGGGACCTCACAATTATTATTTGAAGACCTTTGGGGTTATTTGTTTACTCAGCTTTGTATGGTACATCGATGTGATTTTGCTAGACTAGTAATGCCCCATTCCAACTTGAGACTCTTATTGACTTTTAATAACTTTTTAAAAATATTATTCAGACTGTTTTAAAGTTTATTTTAAAATTTCAGTCCTTCATAATTTTTAGGGTTATTCATTGATTTCTTAAAATGTTTAATTGTGGTAAACTACACATATAATTTAACATCTTAGTCATTTTTAAGAGTACAGTTAAGTGGTGTTAAGTATATTTACATTGTTCTTCAACCAATCTCTAGAACTTTCTCATCTTGCAAAACTGAAACTCTATACCCATTAAACAATAACTCTGTATTTCTGCGTCTCCCCAGTCCCTGACAACCATCATTTTTCTGTTTCTAGGGTTTGACTACTCTAGATACCTCATGTAAGTGAAATCATACAGTTTTTGTGACTGGCTTATTTCACTTCAACAACAAAGGCTCATCCATGTTGTAGCATGTGCCAGAATTTCCTTCTGTTCTAAAGCTGAATAATATTCCATTGTATGTATACACCACATCTTATTTTTCCATCCATTTGTCCATGGACATTTGGATTGCTTCCATCTTTTGACTATTGTGAATAATGCTTCTGTGAATGTGGATACACCTTTAATGACTTAGAAAACAACTTTTGGTGGCTTTAATGCCATTGTTAATGTTGCAGTTTGTTCACTTTTTGCTTCTAAAAACAACCTGGCAGCCCTTGGCAACAATATATTCAAAAGGAAAAAGCCACTCAGAAGTTATATATTTTCCCTTTTCCTTCTTTATATAACAACAAAGTTTCTTTTCTTTTTAAATAAAATAGTTATAAAGAAGCTCATACTAAGAAAGGACATTGTAGCTAAACCTTGACCTAGAAGCCCTACTCTCCCTTCCAGTATTGCCAGAAATAAGCAGGGATACTTACCCTGTTTCTGTTAGGAAGTGAAAGGACAGCAGAAGCAAGACAAGATAGACCATTCCCTTGTTACAAATTTCTCTTCCTACTCCTAATATCTCCTCAGCATCAATGTATGTGGCACTCTTTATTTTCTAAATGTTTCTTCTTTTTGATAGCCACACAATACTGAGATTAATCTAATCTGAATTTAGTATTTTCTATATTATCATGAGAATTTTTGTTAAAGTCGAATTCCAAATTTTCTTTCCCAGCTGGAAGTTTTTCATTCATAAATTCCTCTGTAGTCTATCAGAAGATGACCAAAAAATAGGACTGCCTTGAAATTGCAGTTACTCAACACATGCCATGTTGCACAATGACTCCAATTGATAGTTGGACTAGAAATACATGTTTTTTAAATTGTTTTGCTTTTGTTAGTGTTAATACAAATGGAAGGTAATAAAATTGGTTCAGGCCAGGTGTGGTGGCTCACGCCTGTAATCCCATCACTATGGGAGGTCAAGGTGGAAGGATCACTTGAAGCCAGGAGTCTGAGACCAACTTGGGCAACAAAGTACAACCTGGCCTCTACAAAACTGTTTTTTAAAAATTAGCTGGGCATGGTGGCATGTGCCAATAGTCCCAGCTACTTGGGAGGCTGAGGAAGGAGAATATCTTGAGCCCCGGAGTTCAAGGTTGCAATGACTGTGGTCATGCCACTGCACTCCAGCCTAAGTGACAGAGCGAGACCTTGTCTCAATAAATAAATGCATAAATAAAATAAGGTGAGTTCAGGTAGCCATAAAACATTCTGTTATTGTATATAACACAAAACACTGTATCAACAACAACCTGACTGAACTGTTAGTGAGACTTTTTCCTTCTAGTATATTATTTCAGTAAACTTCCAAGTATAAGATTATAAAATTTAATTAGAGTAACTTTGCTGCCTAAAGCGATAATGTGCTTTGACTTACAATTGTTTGTTTCTTATCTCTAGAGGGTCTATAAAATTATCCAACTAATGAATGTGTAGAGAAAGTTCCTTAATTGCCCTATGGTTGTTCGATTTTCTTCCCTACCTTTGATTCATCATAAACTTTTAAGTTGTTTTTTTCAGCTTCCCCTAAAAACTTGGACTCCAAATCTTCACCTCTGGTCTGACTTCTGGTATTCACTCTGCTGTCAACATGAGGAATTGGTTGCCAAAGGAAGGCTGGGGAGTATTCTAAGATGAAAAGAAAATTCTCCTCCAAAAGTTTAAACAAGGATGGAATTTTCTGTAGGGCACAGAAAACATTGGGGTCACCCACAGAGAATGTAGAGCAAGGTATCTGGAAACTGATCAGCCAATAAACTGAGGTTATGTCTAATTCTTACACAGAAGCAATATAAGGTTTTGCCCCATTAATCAGATAAACTTAAACCACATTCATGTGTCCGATACAATAAGAAATTGCATGTCTTTGTATCTCTGTGAATCTAATTGTGCTCACATGAAGATGCAGCTTGTGATTAGGCCCCCGAGACAAGAACAATCACATTGGTTGTGCAGTGCACAGCCCACACAACAGTATGTGGTGGCCCTGCCCAAGAAATATTTCGCCATTTGTTTACAGGTTCCAATACCTTTCAAGTAGTGAAGCCATGTAGCAATCATGGCTACAAACGTGTGTATTTATTTATTTATTTTAAGGTACTAGATGATTCAATTAGCAAACATAAATAAGGGGTAGTTTTTTCCCCATCAAATATACAAATCACTCCATTGTTGAAGTAACTGTTATATTCCACAAAGACTCTTTGAGTCTATAATTTAGTAAAATCTTGCAAGTGGCTTAAAGTTTTACAAATCTACAAGTAATGACAAGACACTACAGTTGCTGTGAATATTACTATTATGTCTAAAGAGCTAAAACCCATTCCAACTCTCCTTACTACATCACTCAAACAGGCTCAGAGACAATTATCAATTATCTCAGTTTTACACATGGAGAAACTGTGACACAAGAAGATTTTGGAATTTACCCAAAGACACAAATAAAATAAATAAATAGAAAGAGAGGAAAAGAGCTGCAATAGAATTCAAGTCTTCAAGTGTCCAGGTGTTCCCATCCTGGAATTTTTCCCATTAGAACCACTTTTCTACCTACCAATCTTAAATTATTACTCACCTAGAGTAAGCACTTCTAAGAGCTATTTCAATAGGATTTAAAACTAATTCATAAGTCTTTCTTATTCCCCTGCAGAGTCCATGAACTTTTAACATTATAAGAAAGTAAAAAAGCATTTGTTATATATATTTTTAAAAATTTAGCACCAGCTCCCTTCCATGCTTCAAAAAAACAGATTGTACTGAATTTTCACAAAACAATCTGTCTAAAACTCATTGCCTGAAAGCAGACAATGAGAATTCAGAAGCACCTTTTATGATCCCCACATTGTGCTGTGGAAATATTAAGTACATTCGAGTGTGCTTCCTGCCTTCAACCACCTTACAACTGAATCGGTCAGTCAGCCAACAGGCCAGCTCACCAACCAGGCACTGGGGATAAAAAGATGAATGCTGCACATTCCCAGTACCCAAAGCCCTCATAGTCTTGTGGGGAAACAGACTGTGCATAACTAAAAATGTTGCTACAATGGTAACACATAAAAGAGAGTAATAATATTTTCCTTTGCAGGGGAGGGGTCTTCTGAGAATGTTTCATAGAAGAAAGAATATAGAAGATATGCCTTAAAATAGCTTCTTTAAGCAATAGCTTAAAATAGGAGTTTATCTGGCAGAGAAGGGGCACAAGAAAATTTCAAGAAAAGAAAAGAGCATGAATGAAAACATAGAAGCTTTAGAATGAATGGCATTTAGCAGGAGAGTTGAGAGATTTAACTGGAGAGGTGAAGAAATGAAACTGTGAAGGGCTTTAAACGAAGGTTTTATTTCATAGGAAATGGAGAGCCATTGAAGGCTTTCAAGAAGAGAAATGAATCTGTTAAGTTTGGACAGTTAATTCTAGCAGCAGTTTAGAAGACTGTAAGGTAAAAAAGAGACAAGTAGGTAGCTATTTCATTAGTGCAAGCAACAGATGGAGAGTCCACAGCACCATCCAACAAAATATTCTGCAATGTTGAAAATATTCTATATCTTTTCTCTCCAGTATGGTAACCACTAGCCACATGTGGCTATTAAACACTAGACATTTAAATTGTCATGTGTGACTAGTGGCTGCCATATTGGACAGTACGGAGACATCTTAGAGAAGCTAACACTTAAGCCTTAAAGTTGGATTTTTCCAACTGCAGGTTGCAATTAGTAGGTTAAGAAATCAATGTAGTAAACACAATCATGATGTTTTTAATGAAAGAAGAGAATAACAAAATAAGGTAGAATTAACTAGAATAGATAAGAATAAATATAATGGAACAGAATAGAATAAAAAATATCAGCATGCTCTGCAAAGTATTCTTTTGAGAGATGTTTGTTTCAGTTATATGACTCTCTCTCTCTTTCTCTCTCTCTCTCTGTGTGTGTATGTGTGAGTGTATACACCATGGATCACAATGTAAGATGTATTTTTCCTCTTTATTGTGTTTAAGAAATTTTAAAAGCCAGTCTCTTATGCAAGGATATTACTCATCTATGTACATAGTTATTGGGAAAAATTTTCCAGATAGGAAGTAAAGCTTCAGCAAAGTTCACTGGAGTTTAGAATAGGGATAACTCTGGACCTTTGAAGGCTTTCCTAATTAATCTTTTCTCTTTTGGATCGGCTTCATTGTTTAGGACAGTTGTAGATTTACAGAAAAATCAAGAAGACAATACAGGGAGTTCCCATATACCCTGAATCCAGTGTCCCCTTTAAAATCTTACATTAGTATAACATATTCATTACAATTAATGAACCAATATTGATATACTAGTATTAACTAAAGTTCTTACTTTACTCATATGTCCTTAGTTATTACTTAATGTCCCTTTTCTGTTCCAGGATTCCATCTGGGATACCACATTACAATTAGTCATAATGCCTCCCTTAGCCTCCTTTGGCTATAACAATTTTTCACAGTTTGCTTGTTTTTGATGACCTTGGGGGTTTTGGGGAGTACTGGTCAGGTATCTTGTAGAATGCCCCTCTAATGGAATTTGTCTGATACCTTTCTCATGATTAGGCTGGATCTATGGGTTATTGGGAAGAAGACCACAGAGGTAAAGTGTCTTTTTTGACATCATATCATGAAGATTATTCATATCATGATTGTTATCAACATGACTAATAATGATCGATGTTGGCCTTGACCACCTGGCTGAAGCAGGGCTTATCAGTTTTCTCCACTGTAAAGTTACTCATTTTTATCCCCCCTTCCATACTGTGTTCTTTGGAAGGAAATCGCTGTATTTCTAATTTTTTAAATAAATGAATTACTCAGTTAAAGGAGGGCTTGTACTTGAGTAAGTCATATTAAGCTGTTTCCAAAGAAAGCTACTGTGAGTACAGAAAGAGTCTCTTTTTAGATACAGCATCTCTCTCTGCAACTGGCAGGACACTTTTATCACTTCTCAGATTTTCAGGTTCCAAATATGAAGCACAAAAAAAAAATGAAGCTGAGTGATTGATGTAGAGTTCCAAAGTGAGTTGAGAAGGAGTTAACCCAAAAATCAACTTTAGGCCCTTCTAACTGTTCAGTCCCTGATTCTGATGTTCTAGAAGTAAATTTAAACCAAAATGTACTAAGTCTTTTTTTTCCCCAGGAGAATAGCTACCTTTAGAATAGGAAATTCCTTAATGAGAAAATCCAGTAACTTGGGGTAGTTCTTTTTTGGCAGGGGGAGGGCTACTGATCACGTCTTCTGCAATATTTCCAAGGTAAATACCACTGTACCAAATCACCTGCTACGCCTCTTTCATTGCAGTTACCTAACTTCCTTCCAGTCCTGTTCCCCAAAACAGAAAACAACAACAAAGAGCTCCCTGAGCAAGCCCAGCCAATACTTTTCTTGCAAGCTCCCCTCAACTGTGTTCACATTCCATGACTCATACAGCAGTGTTCGTGTTACCACATGTGGTTTTTTTTAATTGTTACATTTATTCACTTTCTTCTCCATCCAAGCCAGAACAAAGTCCTGCCCCTGTGTAATGAGTCATAAGTCTCAAATCTTCTCCCTCTCTATCTGAGAGAGGAGATGTAACTTCATCTCCTTCTCCACCGCACACAAATCTAATGAGAGGGAAATCACCACCCGTTGATAAAAGAGTAGTAACAATCAGAAATAAGAAATAATCATTTACTCTGCATTCCCAGTTATGAAATAACCTTTTAGTGGACTTCCAACACAGAAACATTCAGGCTACAGCCGGTATTATCACTGTCTCAGCATGTCAGAGTCAAACTGTATCCAGGCCACTGTACCCCTGCCTGAAGCCACATCACAGTCTGCTTAGGAGTGCCACCTTTGAATACACAATCTCATGAAAGATCTAAGAACATTTTTAAAGTCATCAAGTTTAGAGGAAACTTTTCTTTTTAAAAAAGAATAAACTACTCTCTCCTTCTTTTCCATATATCGAAAGTCATCTTTTCAAAAGCACCTAACTAAAAACAGGAGATGCATGGTGTGCCTGAATAAAGTAAGCATTTCAAGTTCTTGGTTTAGCTTTGCTGAGATACAGCACTAGGTCTCTAAGGAAGTGGATAGATTAATATCACATTTCACTGTGAAAATTTAGGACTTTAAAATGTTTGCTATCATCTAGTTCTAGGTTATCAGTGGATAATTAATTTCATATTTCTGTCATCTTATTTCCTCAAATGCAGGCTCTTTTTCTAGCCTTCTTCTTAGCATTTTTCCATGTCCTTTCCTCCCACTTAGTACTCATTCCTGGGCCATCGATCACTGCATGTTTGTTATATGGTCCAGTTTGCTGCTTCCTGGAAGAGCATCTCCTGCCTGTAATGCCTTTGAGAATAAAGTCTTTCCGAAGCCATTAATATTCAGAAGGAGCCACATAGTAGTACTCAAAATGTATTCATTCAATGAATGAATGAATTCTCCTAACCACATTACTCATCAAATTGTCTAAAGTGGTTTTTTCCTTTTAATCTTGTATATAGTCCCACAGGAGATAAGAAAGTTGACTCACAGAAGGTAGAAATATATTACCTAAGCAAATCTAGAACCTAAAAATAGTGTGCATTCTAACAATAGATTGTAGCAGATGGTTCAACAATAATAACCAACTCTCCCTCTTCTCACCTTCTCATGATAAGAAATGACACACAAACTGTCTTTAAAATTGCTTATCATCAATAAGGGGAAAATGAATCAGAGAAAAAGAGACAATCAGTGTTTTCAAGAGACACTTTTCACATGTCAGTTCTGGCTACTTAGAGGGCTGAGATTGTGGTAACTGGCAAAAAAAAAATTTTTTTAATCTTAACTGCTTAAATGGTTAGCAGTGCAGAAGTATATTTAAAACAGCCAGATTTAAAGTCATTGCAGATTTGGGGTATTTGTGATCAAGATCTTACCATGTATCCACTGTTGGTGCTATACATGTTGGTGTGCTTTTTATCTGCTGTTTCTTTTATTCATTGATTGATTGTTTGACTTTTAGCGGTTTTAAACAATAGACATTAATTATCTTGAAGTTTCTATGGCTCAGGAATCTGGATACAGATTAGCTGGATGCCTCTGGCTCAGGGTCTTTCTCAAGGCCATCATTAAGGTGTTGGCTAGGGCTGCCCAAGCAAGGAATTCTAATTTTAATAGAGAAAGCAATAGCCGGGAAATTAATCAATGCATTTTTTTTAATTTAGAGTGTTTTGTTTTGTTTTGTTTTGTTTTGTTTTGTTTTGTTTTGTTTTGTTTTGCCAGGATCTCACTATGTTGCTCAGGCTGGACTTGAAGTCCTAGACCAAAGGGATCCTTCCCCCTTGGCCTCAGCCTCTCTAGTACCTGAGACTATTGTCCTGCCCCACCATGCCTTAGCATTTTTCCATGTCCTTTCCTCCCACTTAGTGCTCATTCCTGGGCCCTCGATCACTGCATGTTTGTTACATGGTCCAGTTTGCTGCTTCCTGGAAGAGCATCTCCTGACTGTGATGCCTTTGAGAATAAAGTCTTTCCGAAGCCATTAATATTCAGAAGGAGCCACATGGTAATACTTAAAATGTATTCATTCGGTGAATGAATGAATTCTCCTAACCACATTACTCATCACTTAATTAGTGCAGTTTGTTTGTTTTTTGAGACAGAATTTTTGCCCAGGCTGGAGTGCAATGGCAAGATCTCGACTCACTGCAGCCTCTGCCTCCCAGGTCTCCCAGGTTCAAGTGATTCTCCTGCCTCAGCCTCCCCAGCGGCTGGGATTACAGGTGCCCACCACCATGCCCAGCTAATTTTTTGTATTTTTAGTACAGACAGGGTTTCACCATGTTGGCCAGGCGGGTCTCAAACTCCAGGCCCCAGATGATCCGCCTGCCTTGGCCTCCCAAAGTTTTGGGATTACAGGCGTGAGCCACCGAGCCCGACAATTAGTGCATTTGTAAAAGCCACAACAAGTTCGGGTACAGTGGCTTATGCCTGTCATCCCAGCACTTTGAGAGGCTGAGGCGGGCAGATCACCTGTGGTCAGGAGTTCAAGACCAGCCTGGCCAACATGGTGAAACCCCATCTCTACTAAAAATGCAAAAAAAAATTAGCCGGGCATGGTGGTGCATGCCTGTAATCCCAACTACTCAGGAGACTGAGGCAGGAGAATCTCTTGAACCTGGGAGGTGGAAGTTGTAGTGAGCGAAGATTGTGCCACTATATTCTAGCCTAAGCAGCAGAGTGAGACTCTCTCAAAAACAAATAAATAAATAAATAGCCACAACATATAGAGAAAAGTTAATAATATTTCTAAATAAGCAATATTATCTCATTTGTAAAAATGAAGAGTATTTAAGAATATTTTAAACAGGTTCTCAGTATACTGTTGATTCTGAAACAGTAATGCCCTAGGGAAGAGTAGAGGTACAGATTTTCTGAAATACTTGGGCTCCAAAGTCATTTCAACTTGACTCCAGAATGCAGCATTACCACATGAACTTAAAGCCTCCTCCTCTCAAACCCACCACAGCATTGCCCTAACTCAGAGGTTGAAGATAAAACAGTTAACTTATCCAACTAGGCCCTACAGCTTCTGGCCTCACTGTGGCCATTCCCACCTCTTCAGTGTCATCACACTCCCTGCTCCCTTCTCCCTCCGTGGCCCCTCAAAAGCAACCTACTTCTTCCCACCTCCAACCTTTGTACATATTGTTCCCTCTGTCTTGGCTGTTCTCCCTACTTCACTGTCTATTCTATCCATTTGACTCATAATGATCCCTTGGACCTTATCTCAAAAGTCTCTTCCTCAGAGCTGTGCTTAGGTTCACTTTTATTTCTCTTTGTATACATGGCTCAGGAAAATGAGGCTAACCTCAATTTTTAGGTACCATTATCACTAAAGTTATTTCTAACAATTGTCATGTTTAGATAGATGTTACTGTTACTAATAGTATTATTGCTGCCAATTTTAGTAGTGATTATTAGTAGTGGTGACAATATTATTAATTTTTATAGTTAATATAGTATGTATTATTTTACAGAATATTCATATATTAATAATATATTCAATGATCTTTAACAAATCTTTGAAAGATTTTAACATGCTGAGATCATGAAATTTTAAAGTGATTCTATGTTTGGTTCCTCATCCTCTAATCTGTTACATTCTTTAACAGGACAAACTTACTGCAGCTTGAAGGAGCCAACCATGGATTTGAGGCGTGTGAAGGAATATTTCTCCTGGCTCTACTATCAATACCAAATCATTAGCTGCTGTGCTGTTTTAGAGCCCTGGGAGCGATCTATGTTTAACACCATCTTACTAACCATTATTGCTATGGTGGTATACACTGCCTATGTCTTTATTCCAATCCACATTCGCCTGGCTTGGGAATTTTTCTCAAAAATATGTGGATATCACAGTACAATTTCTAATTGATCCTGTTCACATTCAGTGAAATGGCATTGCATATTTATATGTTGCTTACAGCTTATTGATTTAGGTAACTATTGTGTCTTCCTTCACTATCTGACCTGAAAAGCACTCTCTTCTCTATGCACTCTTATATTCTGCCTTTCTGCCTGGAGTTTGAAATACATGTCTCTTTAGTTTCTTTTGCACATGCTACATTGTGCTTTAGACCGGAGATAATACAGTGACTTTACCTCACAAATCATATTCTGTCAACACAAATCTATGAATTTAGTTTATTTAAAATCAGAACAATTTCCTACAAAATTTTTCTGGAAAATAGACTCCTAACAGACCTACCAGAATCATGCTTAAAGTGCTCCCTTGACACTTATTCTATACTAAAGGATAAATTTTAAAAAATCTTTATAGGCTACTGTCAGAAGTATCCTATCCTTGTTTACGATGTATAAAAAGATGTGAATAAATTATATGGACCCCCTAAGTCTTATTTTCTAGTAAACTGATGATACTGGAAATTCTTTTACTTCAAATGCAAAAGAATAAGCTGGAGGCAATTATTTCCTTTCATACAGAGTTCATGAATTGTTTTAAATGCTTCTTAAAGTCTGGCTTTATAACCGTTTAAAATCAACAATGTTGATTTTAGATAACCAAGTAAGTATTATAATACAAAATAATTTTAAGTGTAAGAAACTAAAGTATAATCAAAGTAAATTCAGTTATTGTATTTGTGGTGTTGCCTTGCCTTGCATGATGCTGGGGGAAAAAGAGAAAAGAAATGGTTTTCTTTTTGTACTTTCATTCAGTGTAGAGGGAAAAAAGCATGTATTGGGCCACCGGAAGACAAGCTAATAAATAGGCTGGAAGTAATATTCTACCAGCAGGAACTCAACAGCTCCAGTTAAATGCTTTGATATAGTGGCTCCTTTGCAGAGCCAAAACAAGATTTATTAAATTTCCTTCAAACTGTTTATCTTTAAAACAAATATAAGGTTTTAATTATACTGCTGAAGCAAATGTGAATGCCAAAGACTACGTTTTGCAGTTTTGCTTTCCTCCCAATAAATATTAATGTATGTAATTCTAGAGGGTAAAAATGTAAATAGGTTTGGACAATATTTGCACCCTTGTTTGTGTTATGAAAAAAATTTTTCCAAGGTGAGCTAGAGAGAAAGATGTTTGGCATGCCAAATTAACTTGCATGTTTGTTAAAAAAACAAACACATGTTTTGAAGAGAAACCAGATCTGAACATGTATTTGTTGAGTTTTGCAAAATAAAATTAATTTTGTAAGTAAATATCTACTTCCAGATTTACTTTTTATTCATATTGCACTAAATATCTAGATGTTACATTGCATATTTCTCCCCAGCTTATCATTTTTTAGTAATCCAATGTGGTAACTGGTGTTAAAACGGTAACAAAAACCTAACATTTATCAAGGGACTTCTCCATGCTGGACACATTTTCCATGTTGGAGTAGGTATAAAGGTCTCCTACTTACAGGTAAAGAGCCTGGAACTTGAAAAAGTTACATTTCTTGTTCAAGGTCGATTAGCTACTAGTAGCTACTAGTAGCATAGCAAGGATGCAAATCCAGGTCAGGACCACACCGGGCCCTGCAAATATTTTGCACACGAAAGCCCAGGGGAGGACAAAATGAACAGATGAAAGTTGATGGGATGAGTGTCACCAACGTTTGAAAGTAGAACTCCATCAAATAGAAGGAAGAGCGTTAGGAGACAGCCAAGGTTGGAGGAATGATAAGCTGAGGTCCCAGCTGTCACCTTTGCTGCTGTACCTAGGATGCTGTGTTCACCCATTTCTATGCTTCCAAGGCCCACATGACTATTTTGAAAGATTGCTTTCACTTCTAAATATTTAAAGAGAATTCTCAGTTAAGCATGAACTTGGATGCATTCCCAGTTCATAATGATTCAACACCCTTATATACATGGACCCCTGCTAAGTACTCCTGGAATTCAATCACAAAGATACTGCATTGACCTTCTCAAAAAATCCTCCATCTAAAAATAAGAGAGTTAAAATAAACATGAATAGACACAGCAAAGCTTAATAAAAGATTATTGCAAAGCACCACCCCAGGATGTCACTTCGAAGGTGTTTCTTCTGAGCAGTCAAAATAATAAATACAGGGTCCAAAAAACATAATCAAAAATAGTTTGGGAAAAAAAACCTATCAATCAGCATGTAGTGGGAAAGAAGAGTAAGCATTACTTTCCCTGCCTGCTAAGTTTATTTTCTAGACATGGAGAGAGACATTCTTTACCTTGACCCCAGTTTGCCTAGATTAGAAACACTTTTTGTGTGTTTTTCCTTTGCTTCCATTACTTGGATATTTCAATGATGTGTACAGAACTTTAAAAACAAGAAAGGCCAAAGGTTCCATGGCTCCGGTGAGCTTGCATTTGTCACTCACCGAACGAGAAATTGTAAAATGTTCTTTCCCTGGTATTGGCCAAGTCAACAGTTACTTTTATCTGCTTGTGCAACAAAAAACACAAAATGTCAAGATATCAGGCAGTTTAAATATCAAGATAGGACTAACCAATCTTCATTAAGTTGTTTGTGGAAAAAAAACACTCATCCACATTTCCTATTTTTTTCTTCTTCCATCACAAATATATTTAGATCCTCTTACTGGGGTGATTCTAGAAGGCAGATTTGTCCTTATTTCTGAATCTCCTGATACAGGGCTTAGCAAATTCCCACCCACGAGGACATTATATAGCTCCTTCTACCTTGTGACCACACAAAAACAAAGAAGCTCAGTGTCTGTATTAGGCCAACCAAAAGATGGACAGCTCCTGACTATGGACTAAAAGAGTAACACTTATTCATTCATTCAATAAATTTATTAAAAGTCAACCATGTATTGATGGGTAGATACAAGGATGGAAAAATGAAAAAATATGTGATGAGGAAAACATAACAATAGAAACTAGATGCTAGGTATACAGGCATTAATTGTCAAATTCTGTTAACATTATGTTTGAAACTTTTAAAAAAATACATAGGGAATAAAAGCCTACCATGTGCTAGTCTTTGGGCTTGGTACTAGAAAATGAAAATGAATGAGACAGAAGCAGAAACATCTCTGGAGTTATTAATGATAGTATCTGGTAGGCAAGATAACGACAACAACAACAAAAATACAAGCAAGCAAAATATTTATGAATTGTGATAAAGTTTAAAAAGAAAACACTAGTGTGCTAGAGAGACAGCGACAGGTGGTTGGGGATGATGAAGTCCTTGGGGCAAAGGGAACATAGCTCTTCCAGCTGCAGTAGAGCAGGATTCAAACGTCTCTAATTGAGGGACACTAAGCAGGGGGGTGATGTGCAAGGAATGTGATGTCATTTATACTGTAAGATGATGGCACTGGCTATGGTGTAAGAGTGGATGGGACAGAGGCATGATTTACCACCATAACCTGTTTTGGGCCATGATCCAAGTCCTCCATTCTTTCTGTAAACTCAAGATGGCATATAAGCATCTGTACCCCCATTGGGGTGTTGGGGTAATCATTCTATCATTCTTCTCCATGCACATTAATAAATTTGTGTGCCATTTCTCCTATTAATCTCCCTTTTGTCAGTTGATTTTTCAGTGAACCTTCAGAGGGCAAAGCGGACATTTTCCCTTGGCTCTTACACTATCAAAATGTAACCCCCTGAAACCCTGCTTATCTCTCGCACCTTACCATGCAAATGCAATACCTTCCTCCCAGTCCTGAGTTATATTTACCTGAGCCAGAGAAAGTACCTGGCTCCAAAGAGGGAAAAAGGGAAGTCCACCACCCACATGTGCATATTCTGTACCTTTCAGGTGTTGGTTGCCTCAGAATTGTGCAGGTGTTCCTTCTGAAGAGCACAAAGAACACAGCACATTGTTTTTTGCACCATGTACTCTTATAAAAGCTCACTAAACGAATGGATTGATGAACAAATCAAGCCCTTTTACAACTCCAGAGTAGAGACATTGAGTCATATTCCAGACATGATTTGTCACTAGCATTTTTATGAAGTCACTCACCTAAGGTGAGTTTTTAAACATCTGGTGAAGGTTTTGAGAGACATTTGTCCCTCTCCTGTATTCTCTTTACCCATTATTCCTTCTCTCCTGCTCCTATATTCTCACAACAATCCCCATGTGAGCATTTTTTAAAAAGGGAGGACATTTTTTTAAAAGTTCATTGATGCATCTGTAAAGATCTACAACTGTTTTCTCCTCAAGTACTAGACCATTGGTTCTCAGCTCTGGCTGTACATTAGAATCGTCTGGGAGCTTTAAAAACTACCAATGCCTGGCCCTGACTAAATTTTCAAACTAAATTGAAACCCTCAGAAGGGAGTGCCCAAATAGTAGTTTTTAAAATTCCCCAGATAATTCTAATATTTGGCCAAGATTGGGAACCACTTTAACAGTCTTTTAGTGAATGCTGATTAAATCACTAAAATCCAGCATCAAGCTGCGTACTCCTCTTACTCCCTCCCACTTGCCAGGCTTGCCGAACATGTCTATATATGATTAAGGCACTGCTCTTTCTCTAGATACAGTCTTGATCATAACAAACAGCGCTTCCTTACTGTTTTTCAGTAAAAGTACTCAACACTCCCATAGAAGCTTGAAGTGCTTAATAGTTAGCATCACACTCCCCAGTGCATTTTGTTCCACATAATGATGTCTTCAATCATTTCATCATGCATCATTTAAGAGCAGTAAAATATCACAAATTATGCTTATGGGCATGAAGCTCTAAAGGACACTCAGTCTGCTGCTGAGGAGCTTGGTGGAGCGCTTTCATTTGCAACCTGAGTACAAGATCGTGTCACAATAATTTGGTTAAGCCAGATAGATAGTACCATCAGCACTACTGCAGAGCATGCAAAGCTTTATGCATTTCACAATAATATCACAATAGGGCACCTCATGGATCAATGAATGTACCTTGCTTCCTTTTGTTTTTAATTACTTGCAGTTATATGTATTCAATGTGATATATCTATACACACATACATAATTTAATATATACATACATATATACATACACATATATATTTGTGTATACGTATATATGCTTCCACCATCTAAGCCTGTACCAATATAATTGGTGGCAGAACTTTTTTTTAACAAACTTATTTGGACCCAGACCTGGCTCCAGCACTGGTGTGGGTTTTTTTTGTTGCTGTTTGTTTGTTTGTTTAAGATTTAGGGGGTACATATGCAGGTTGGTTACACAGACATAAGGATATAATGAATAGATTGCATAATGTGCTTTTTGTGCTTGTATTGAACCCAAACAGTGAACGTAGTACCCAAAAGGTAGTTTTACAACTCTTGCCCCCCTCCCTCCTTCTCTTCTTTTGAAGTCTCCTGTGTCTATTTTTTCTCTCTTTATGTCTGTGTATACCCCTTGTTTAGCTCCCACAGATAAGTGAGAACATGTAATATTTGATTTTCTGTTCCTGCATTAATTCATTTAGGATAATGGCCTCCAGCTACATTCATGTTACTGCAAAGGACATAATTTCATTACTTTTTACGGCTTCGTAGTTTTCCATGGTGCATAGGTACCACATCTTCTTTATCCAGTCCACCATTGATGGGTATCTAGGTTGATTCTATAACTTTGCCATTGTGAATGGTGCTGCAATAAATACATGAGTGCATGTGTCTTTTTGGTAGAATGATTCATTTTCCTTCGGGTACATACCCAGTAATGGGATTGCTGGATCAAATGGCAGTTCTATTTTTAGGTCTTTGAGAATACTCCAATCTATTCCACAGAGACTGAACTCATTTACATTCCCACCAACAATGTGTAAACATTCTCTTTTCTCCTTATCCTGACCAACATCTGTCATTTTTTGAGTTTTTAATAATAGCCATTCCAATTGGTGTGAGATGGTATCTCACTGTGGTTTTAATCTGCATTTCTCTGATGATTAGTGATGATGAGCATTTTTTCATATTTTTGTTGGTCACTTGTAGGTCTTCTTTTGAGAAATGTCTGTTCATGTCATTTGCCCCCTTGTTAATGGGTTTTTTTTTTCTTGTTGAGTTGTTTAAGTTCCTTAGAGATTCTACATATTAGACTTTTGTCAGATGAATAGTTTGCAAATATTTGTGGCAGAAAATTTTAGTTAGAAACTGAGATAAACAAGTGATATGGACGATGGAAAGATAATCACCCCTCAGAGGGTAGAGTGACCCCAGTTCTTCTTGCTCTGGCTGCCTGTGTGTGGCCTTGGACAAGTGACTTCACTTCTCTGGGATCCAGTTTCTCTGCTGTGAAAAGAATGACTCCTCTGGGAATAGTGTGTGTGTTTTTCTCTTATCGGCTCTTGTGATCACTGGCAGGGCCACCCTAGAAGGTCATGTTGTGAAGAACTTTGAAGCTATACCTGCTCGTTGGAAAGAATGCCATTATGAACATATCAGTGTCTATCATGAGATCAGTAGAAGGGAAGTGGACTCTAAGTTCTGCTGGGTCAAAAACTGTAGAATTACTTTCCTAACCCAGTGCAGTGGCTGGAAACCTGTAGACATAAAATGAAAACACCTACTTACAACACTGTAACTGCTAATCTTTACAGCCACATAGAAATGTGTACACACATACTGGCAGCTTGTCTCTATATACTCAGATACACTTATTCTTCAACTTCAGTTCAAATTCTACCTCTTCTATTAGGCCAACTACATGCCATAACAATAAATAGCTAATATTTATACGGCACGTATACTATGCATCAGGTGCTCTTCTAAGCATTTTGCATATGTAATTCATTTAACTCTCTCAACAATCCTGTTAAATAGATATCATTATCCTCATTCTACAGATGGGGAAAGCTGAGGCACAGATTGTTTAAGTGACTTGCTCAAGGTTACACAGTTAGTAAGGGAGCTGAGATTTGAACTGAGGCTGCAGAGGTGAAGTGTTTAACCATTGGAAGGAATGGCACCTTCTACATGTCCACATAAACCATCACTATACCACACCTTTTTCTGCATTCTATCATTCACTGATTCTGTGTGATTATAGGACATCAATCAATGTGGTAAGCACTTTGAGATTTAGACAGAGCATTATATAGGATGACCGTAGATCCTGGTTTGCCTACCTAGTGCTTTTGGATGGGGATGAGGAAATTCAGAGAATTCTTCCTACATGAAGCGATGCCTGAGTTACATCTTAGAGGATGAACAGCAATTAGCCACATTAAAATTAGCAATTAAAATCAGTTTATTCTCTAATATATTCTCCCTTGCCAATTGGTTATATTACTTGGACCTCTAAATATATCTTTCAGTAAACAGAGTTAACCATCCCTCCCCAAAACTCAAAGAAAACCTCACATTATATATAAAAATGCAGTTCAGTGCTATTATAATTAGACTAACTTGCTTTTCATATGAAAGTCTTAATATTATCACTTCTAGGTGATGTTCTTGAGTAGTTAGAAAAGTAAAGAAAAATTTGATAAAATTCTTGATTAGGGAAGGAGAAAATAATTCAGGGCAAAAGAGTAAGAGAAATAGTTCCTTCTTACAGACGAGAGCTTCAGACTTTCCAATAAATCAAAGGTAATGATCCACTAACTTCATGAGCGTGTGAAGAAATAGATGCCACATCTTGGTGAGTCCAGACAAATTAAAAATGGCTCTACTTACACACTCTGTGACCTAGTTTATGGGTGGTTAAACCAACAGGAAAGTACAGTGACCAGACAGAATAAAAAGGGACCATATTGGAATAGTATTTTTTTATAATCTTGCCTTTTATTTAATTTTACATTTTTCAAATTTGTTGTAATGATGAGTAATTGTTTAAGTTAACCATTATGGTGACTTTGTATTATAGTCATGCAAAGATACTAGCCTTGTAAGACACATTTACCTATAAGACCTGAAAACACAGGAGCTCAGAAAACAAATGTCAGGGAGGACATGACTGCTTCTCATTTCTGGAAAGGTGCACCAGAATGACTTTGAGTTAATTAATTCCTGTAATAAGATGCTCAAACCAAGCTCAAAAATTACTCTGCTCTAAAGACAATCATATAGCCTGGAAATTTGAAGTTACCTGCCTCCCAAATGAGGGGCAGGGAAAAAAGTGGTAAAACTTATCAGAATTATGAAAGCCTTACCCTTCCAAGAAACCAACTTAGAAAAAAGAAACAGATCAGAGATTATTTCAATTTATCAGACTAAGTTAAAAACAGAGATCAGGGCCTGGGCAAAAAGGAAAATGATCAGGAGCTTCAGAGAACAGAAATAGGGTCTCAAGACCAAGTGAGAAACTCCAAAGTCTGCATTGAGAATGTTGCCTGGAAACTCCATGGTTTCCACCCCAGATAAGGAGAATCTGCAGATTCCAAATTCTTGTCTGCCCTTGGGGTTTAGGGTGGAGGAGGCATTTGGACAACCTAACCCTGTTTCCCAGGTTCAATGCTAAATACCAGCTCCACCACCCTCAGAGCACACTCCTGAAACCATTCTGGACTTTGAAAAGGTTCATTTCTGAGTTGAAAGACTCAAGAGAATAGCAGAACAAGTTTCTATCTGAAGTCACCTAAAGTCAGTGCCCACAATTAGAATGGCCCTAAGAGTTATAGCAAACCCACAGTTCCCATTTACACACTTCTCTGTAAATGGGAATGTTTTGCATAAAGATGTTATGACCTTTCCTCTATTAATTTGTTTAGCAAAGCTTTCTTTTTTGCAGGACAAAGGTGAACTTGAGCACAACCCTCTATGAATGATCACAAGTTCCATAATAGTATATTTTCTTCCTTTTGCAATTTTTCATGACGTGTGACATAATTTGCTTAATGTCAATAGTGACAAGACGTCAGGGATTGCCTATTTTTGTCCATTATTGTGTCCTCATCAACTGAAATACTCTCTGGTGCCAAGTAGACTCCCCAAAAAAAGTTCGCTAAAGAGATAATACCCACTCAAAAAGTTGTGAGGACTAACTGAGAAATATACATGAAATACCCATCACAGTGCCTGGCAACTGAAATCAGTATTTGTTGAATTGAGTGAATGAGTGGAGAAGATTCTACTTCACACACTCTTGGTGCCCCCTCCAGGAACCTTCCTACCTCTTGGCTTTCTTTCATTACTATACTTTTCAAATGAGTACTCCATGCTTTCATTTCCTCTCTAGTTTCTCTACAATTCTTGACCTTTCCACTCCACTGAACTGATCCCCTCAAAATCCAAACAACTGGCAAACTCCCACTTCCTTGAAACTCTCTTCCATGTCTGTGGTTCCATGACTACAGATTCTGTTGCAACTTTTCCAACACTTTCTTCCTTTCTGCGAGTGACTTTTGACTTTCTCCTATTCTCTCGGGGTGAGTCTCAGCAGGACTACCTCTTGAACTTTTGCCTTTCTTCTTCTATTAAATTTTAACTTAGCCATACAAGGCTTCCACTACCATTTTTGGCTAATGACTCCTAAGTTTTCGTATCTTCTGTATTTGCCTGACCTGTAGTCCCATATTCCCAAGACTGGGAAAATTCTTAAAGCTTGTCATACTCCCTGTAATCCCAGCCTGTATGCAACCCTCCATACAGTGTCTGTCTCCTCCCCGGCTCATTTAGGGTAAGAGCCACATCATGGGATTTTTTATCTCCAGCACCTAGCATGAGTCCTAGCACAAAGTAGGGAATAAATGTCTGCTAAACAAATAAAGAAAGAGATGTCCTTAGAACTATTACTAAAACATTTTCATTTGAATCTCTTGCAATATCTCAAACTTCACACCTATATGATATCCTTTCCCCTCACCCCAGATTTTCTTGCCTCCCGAATTTCTTACTGTGAATGATACCACCATCCACCTGTCTGAGCTTAAAATCAAGTCCTCTTTGACTCTTCTTCATTTCCCTTATATTCGTCAAATCTTGAACATTTCCTATAATATTTCATGTCATATTCATTCTCCTTCCTCACTGTCAACACACAAACTTAGCAAGGCCTCCGGTCCCATCCAGATGATCACAACAGCCTTCCCATTCTCAGATGTATAAAGACTCTCTCTTATCTGCTGCAGGCTTGTAGTCTAATATTCTTGACCAGGTTTTCAGGAATCCTCACAATCCAGTTTTCTCTCTTCCCACTACAAATCCAACCTCACATCAATATCCATGGCCCACTGTGTTCTTGCCATTGATCAATCAAGTGGTGATTTGTTCCTTCCCTATCTGGGAGCTTCCCTATCTGGAATTCCACCTATGGAATTCTGCCCACAATTCAAGGCTGAGATCAAATAATTTCTTACACAGGAAACTTATTATGACCATTCTAGTCCTAAGTGTTTCTTTTATTTATTTACATTTTTATTTTGAAATAATTTTACATTTGCCAAAAAGTTGAAAAAAAAAGAGACTTTCCATATACCTTTCACCCAGCTTCTTCTAATATTTTTAATAACATGTTGTATAACCATAGTATATTATCAAAACCAGGAAATTAATATTGTTACAACACCATTGACTGAACTACAGCTCTTATTTGAATTTCTTCAGTTTTTCCCTGAATGTCCTTTTTCTATTCAAGAATCAATTCAGAATCCCACATCGCATTTGATTGTCTCCCTGGTCTGCTCCAATCTGTGACAGTTCTCAGTCTTTCCTTGTCTTTTGTGACCTTGACACTTTTAATGAGGGCTCGTCAGGTATTTTGTAGACTGGCCCTCAATTTGGGTTTATCTAATGTTTTCTCATGATTAAATAGAGGCTTTATGCCTTTTTGGAAAGATTATGGCAAAAATGATACTGTGTCTTTCCCAGTGCACACTATCAGCAGGTATGTAATGTTGATATGTCTCAGTACCAGTGACATTAATCTTGACCACTTGATTACTGTGGTGTTGTTGGGTTTCTCCATTGCAAATGTATTATTCTTCCCTTTATAAGGGATAAGTGCTTTGGGAGAGATATTTTGAGATGATGCTGATATCCTACTTCTCCTCAAACTTTTGCCCACTAATTTTATCTGTCACTGGATCTTGTCTGCAACAGTTATTACTGTGGTATTTCCCCAGTGATGGCTTTTTATTTCCCCTCTTTAATTTTACATTTATTAATTGGAATTCTTCTGTAAGGCTGTGTTTCTTAATATATTGGGTTTTATTTTATTTTTATGGGTACATAGTAAGTGTAAATATTTATGGGGTACATGAGGTATTTTGATACAGGCATACAATGCATAACAATCACATCAGGGCAAATGGGGTATCTATCACCTCAAGCATTTATTATTTCTTTGTGTTATAAACATTCCAATTATACTCTTATAGTTATTTTAAAATCTACAATAAATTATTGTTGACTTTGGTCACCCTGCTGTGCTATGGAATACTACATTTTATTCATTCTATCTAACTGTATTTTTGTACACATTAACCATCCCCACTTCTCTCCAGATCCCACCCCCTACCCCTGCCCTACTACTCTTCCCAGCCTCTGATAACTATCATTCTACTCTCAATATATTGTTAATTTATGTTTCTCAGCAGGTGTCTGGTGTGAGGAGTACAGTCCTGGGGGTCTGGGGATCCCTGTCCAGTCACAGCTCTGCTTAAAGGATACCTGACAGAAAAAAGGAGAAAGAGGAAGAAGAGGAACTAAAGAAGGGAAGGAAGGAGGGAAAAAAAAAGAAAAAAGGAACTCTGTCTTTGTCTTAACTACCAGTTACTTTGGAAATGAAGTATCTTAAGGGAACACTTTCCTTTGAGTGGATACCCATGTTGAATCCCAAGGAAAGATCCAGAAACACACTTCTGGTACTTATGCCAATTAGAATAATAAATGTATTATGCACCAGGGTAATAGATTCATGAGGACATTACATGCCATAGAACCTCCATTATGGCTTTTTCTCTTCTCTTTCATAGTGAGTAAGTATATCTTAGGACAGGAAAGAGGGGCTTCAAGCCATAGTACAAACTAGGAGATGGGTAACATGGAAGGCTGACATCAATCCAGCAGAGTCTGGACATCCACAGAAATAATTTAGTCTAAGCCTGTCTGCAAAATGGAGAAATATCTCCCTGGCCTGGGCACTGGGGAGATATAAAACCACACAGACCACAGCATCCCATTCTTAACTTGGCCAACTTCCTTGCCAGCAGCAGACAGAACCCTGTAAGAGTTTGAAGGTAAGTCTGTGTTCACTCCCTTCAGCAGAGTTCTCCTCCCACCCCCGAGCCTATGGCCTCTGTGCCCCACGCAGGGAAGTAGGACACAGTGCACAGCAATTCTCAAACTGGGAACTTCTCACTTATCCAGAGCTGTGGTTGGGGTGGGGGTGGGTGACTGTATCACAAATACCTTGAGATTATTTTAATTTTTTATTCTTATATGATTGATACTCTTTTAAAAAGATAGGCATATTCTGCGTCAGTCTAAATGACCACTTAATACCCACAAAATGCAATCCCTGCATTTTGTACTGCTATTTTTAGTCAGGTTATAACCAAGTGATCCTATGAAGGAATAGTATTTCATTTCTATGTATTAACACGCGTAACTGAATGTATCTGAGCCTGCACAACCTAGTATCTAAATGACAACATTCTGTATCTGCTATTGTACTTGTAATTTATTTTAACCAATTATATGACAAAGCTTGAGATTTTCCCATTTACACACTTCTCTGTAAATGGGAATGTTTTGCATAAAGATGTTATGACCTTTCCTCTATTAATTGTTTAGCAAATCTTTCTTTTTTACAGGACAAAGGTGAACTTGAGCACAACTCTCTATGAATGATCACAAGTTCCATAATAGTATACTTTCTTCCTTTTGCAATTTTTCAGAAGGAAAAATTTTTTTCCTGGGGATAGAATTACAAGACATCTTCATGGACTGAAACTTTAGTTTTTTAAGTTACTGAATAAACTGAGGTTTACAAATGGTGTCATGAAAATGACAAGGGGCAGTAATATATACCAACTGGGGCAGCTAATGAGGAAGAAATTGAGGTGGACTCAGAATGGAAACAAGGCACCAACGTCCACTGGAGGCCAGATTGCCTCATTTTATACTATGCAAACAAAAGTTTACCAATAGTTCAAACAAGGAATAATTTGTGAGAGAACTGAGTCATCTTATACACAGTAATTCTGATACAGTGGTATGGTAGTTAGTACCATTTGGGAAATGTGGGAAATGTGGATTCTTTGTGTATATCTACCTCTGTACTGATCAGATTGCAAAAGTTCATCACCAGAACTTACAGTTGTAGAAATACATGAAAAATATTTTTGGTAAATGGTCCTTTAAAAATGTTTCAGTATTGTTTGGGCATGCACTATTACATTGCTTTATTGCCTTTTGACTGGCCATAGGATAAAATGAGAGTATGTATTTATTGTTTAAAAGCAAAAAAAGAAAAAAGATAAAAATGGACTATCATGCTCAAAATCAAAAGTCAACAAGTGAATAAAATGTCTTCCTATAATTAACCCAAACATTGGCAGTTTTATTTCAATTACATTAAATTGCATTGCATTAACATTGATGATTTAACTTTAATTTTTTTTTTTTTTTTTTTGAGACGGAGTTTCGCTCTGTCGCCCAGGCTGGAGTGCAGTGGCGCGATCTCGACTCACTGCAAGCTCCGCCTCCCGGGTTCACGCCATTCTCCTGCCTCAGCCTCCCGTGTAGCTGGGACTACAGGCGCGCGCCACCATGCCCGGCTAATTTTTGTATTTTTAGTAGAGATGGGGTTTCACCGTGTTAGCCAGGATGGTCTCGATCTCCTGACCTCGTGATCCGCCCGTCTCGGCCTCCCAAAGTGCTGGGATTACAGGCGTGAGCCACCGCGCCCGGCCAACTTTAATTTTTAAATTATGTTGTTTCTTAACTTTATTCAGGTTTTGTAGTTATGTATAATGATAAAGACACCAGGAAGTTTAATACCTAAATATATATTTAGATATTTATCTATAGATATGTAGATATATATCTGTATAATTTAAGCCACAGTATAATGAAATAATTCAAATCACTCTGGGAGGGAAGTGTCCAAAGTAAAAGGAAAAAAAAGCACAAAGTAATAAGAAGTTAAAGGAAATTATTAACAAAATGACCCTATTTACAGTGGATATCCAGCAGAAACAGACCATGGGCAAGTCACTTTAACTTCTTTAAGCTTCAGTTTACCTTTTCTGTAAAAATAGTCATATATGTGCTAAGTTTGTAAATGCACAGGGGAAAAAGTATCTGGAAGAAGCCACGTCCCACTGTCAATAATGATAACTTCTGAGAAAAAAAGTGGTTTGAGGGACAGAGGTCAGAAGAACTGAACTGAACTTTTTACTCCATAATTTTACTCTATAATTTCTGTAATGTTTGAATTTTATACAAGTATACTCACCTAATTGAGTAAAATATAAAGTTATTGCATAAATAAAAGGTCAGTAGATTACTCAAGTGGCGAAAAGAGCATGGACTTTAGCTTCAGAAAACCTAACACTAAAATTGATTCAGGTGATTCTTACGAGCTGTGAGACCTTGGGCAACTCACTTAACTTCTTAAAGCCTCAGTTTTCCTTATCTGAGAAGTATTAGTAATAATAGCTATGGAGATAATGTGAGGATTAAGTAAGATTAAGCATGCAATTCAGACCTAAGATGATCAGGCTTCCCCAGGGTTGCTAGCTTCAGGGTTCTGCATCATTCCTTGTTGTTTTCCCTAGTCAGCAAGTGATCCTTTTCTTAAATGTTTCAAAGTGCCCAGTTGGAATGTAGCATCTGTTTCTTCCTAAACTCCCACATATTCACTGTTCCATAGTGTGGCTTCAGTGAGATGACCCAGCTCTACAGAGACAACTTCACTGCAGGCAACTTCCAGTGGAAATTTCTGCAAATTTCAATAAATCAACCTCATGCTTAGGCACCATAGGGAGAAACTTATGTTGTGCCATTTCAGTGGGATGGAAAAAGTCCCTCTCCTGCTGGTCTGAAATTCCACCACTGTGGTAACTACAGTTCATTCACTGGTGGATATAAAAGATGAAAGTTTTCTAATTAGAGGTTGCAATTCCAAACTGCCCACCCACTCAGAATTTGTCTGCAAAGGTAAAGGATAAAATTTTTGAAAATGTAATTTTCTCAATCCCTATTGTCAAGTTATTTTCTGCTTGTGAGTTGCTCATAAGTATGTCTTATACAGGCAACAGAGGTCAGTGAGAATCAGCCTTCTGACCATAACAGTAGCTGTAGCCTGGACCACTGCCCCTGCCTTTATTACAGCCTCTCATTCTGCTCCAAAAAATGCCACTTCCCTGTTCAAAAACCTGTGATGGATACCCATTTTATTTAATAATCACTGCCGTAGAACTTACCTTGTGCTGGGTACTGGTCTAAGCAATTTATAAATATGAATTCATTTAATCTTCACAATCCTCCTATGAAATCCATTCTTTTTCAGGTAAGGAAACTGAGACACAGATATGTTAGGTAAGTAACCCCAAGGTTACACAGCTAGTAAGTGGTAGGACCGGCAGTGGAACCCACATAGATAGTCTGGCTCCTAGTCTGTGCTTTTGATCACTCCACTCTGAAGCTTCATTGTCTAACAAATTAGTGCAAACTTCTCACCAGACTTTGCATTTCTCTGCAGTATGGCCCCAACTAACCTTTTCCAGGATTATCTCATATCACCATGACATTACACCATCTATTCAGTATCCATTCATCCAAAAAAAAAAAAAAAAAAACAAAAAACCTAACGAACACCTTGTGAAGCCACAGCCTAATGAAAAGACAGACATTAAGAAAGAATTGGCAGCTCAATTGGCCAAGGCAAGATGGGTGAAAGTCAGAGTGGGGGTTATGGTCCTGGAGTTTGCAAGAAGAATGGAAGGACAAGAAAAATAAATATGAACCTCCTGTACCAACTAGAGTGGAGAAGAAGAAAACAAAGGGACCAGATGCTGCCAGCAAACTGCCACTGGTGACATCTCACACTCAGTGCTGATGAAAATTACTGAAGTTAGAGAGAATTGAAGACTGTCTTCTCATGGAGGAAGAATTCATTAGAAATCAGAAATAAATGAAACCATTAGAAGAAAAGCAACAGAAAAGATTAAAAGTGGATGATCTGAGGGGGGACCCCAATAGCAGTAGGAACCTTGGAAGAGATCACAATCATGCCATTATTCTACATCTGTGGGCTCAGAACACTACATCAGCATTCTTTCATTTGTAGACAAGGATCTGCTGGAACCTGGCTGCTCGGTTCTGCTCAGCCACAAGGTGCATGCAGTGATAGGGGTGCTGATGGATGACACGGATCCCCTATTCACAGTGATGAAGGTGGAAAAGACTCCCCAGGAGACCTATGCTGATACTGGGGGAAAAGTTGGATAACCAAATTCAGGAAATTAAGGAATCTGTGAAGCCTCCTCTCACCCAACATGAATATTATGAAGAGACGGGTGTAAAGCCTCCTACGGGGTGGGGGGTCATTCTCTATGGTCCACCTGGCACAGGTAGAACCTTGTAGCCAAAGCGGTAGCAAACCAAACCTCAGCCACTTTCTTGAGAGTGGCTGGCTCTGAACTTATTCAGAAGTACCTGGGTGATGGGCTCAAACTCATACTGGAATTGTTTCAAGTTGCTGAAGAACACGCACCATCCACTGTGTTTATTGATGATATTAATGTCACTGGGACAAAAAGATATGACTCAAATTCTGGTGGTGAGATAGCAATTCAGCGAACAATGTTGGAACTGTGGAACCAGTTGGATGGATTTGATTCTAGGGGAGATGTGAAAGTTATCATGGCCGCAAACCAAACAGAAATTTGGATCCAGCACTTAGCAGACCAGGCTGCACTGACAGGAAGATCGGGATTCCCCTCCCTAATGAAAATACTAAGAAGAGCATCTTTCAGATGCATACAAGCATGATGACACTGGCCGATGATGTAAACCTGGACGACTTGATAATGACTAAAGATGACCTCTTTGGTGCTGACATCAAGGCAATCTGCACAGAAGCTTGCCTGATGGCCTTAAGAGAGCCACAGAATGAAGGTAACAAATGAAGACTTCAAAAAATATAAAGAAAATGTTCTTTGCAAAAAACAGGAAGGCACTCCCAAGGGGCTCTATCTCTAGTGAACCACAGCTGCCATCAGGAAAATGGTTGGGAGATTTTCCAATCCCTGAAAGGGATGAGGCTGGGGAGTTGCCCAAAGGAACTCCTGTTCCAGTTTATTTTTGTTGGTAAGACGTTTTGTGTGTATTTTGGAGTAAAATGTGTAAATGCTCATTGGGCGGCCTTCATCTCTTGGTCACTGTGCAGCACTCTGCTTTCCAATAAAGCATGCTCTTTCATCAAAAAAAAAATAAAGAAAAAAGAAAAATCCATTAACAGTAATATTGATGAATTGTGGCAGGTTTGCATAATGGAACGATATACAGCAGTGAAAATTAACAAACCACAACCACAGGAAACAGCATGGCCAAGCCAGCTAAAACTGAGGCTGCAAATGCTGGGCTGGGAGCAGCAATGTCTGCTATTAGCAAGGGCACTGAGGCAACGCGCTAGAGAACATGGCCTGCAAAGGGAAAAGGGAAAGTGCTGCCTTGCCTATCCTAAGCACTTTCAGCCTCTGGAGCACAATGTCACTATGGCTTTCCTTGTTGCCCTTCCTTGGTTGTTGCCTTTCCAAGCAGCCAGTTGCAGTACTTGCTGCCTTAAATGCTTGTCTATTCCTCTTGAAGAGAAAAAACAACAGGATAACTTGGTCCATCTTAGAACTTAAAAAAAGAGAAAAGTCTAAAGTAGTGAATGAAATAAACATTTAAATCTTGTGTCTTACAGCCCATGACAGATGTTGGCATTCTAAGACCTGTGCTGTCTGCAGAATACAAGGTCCTGCATTATGGTTTACATAATAAACTGAATGATTGATGGGCAATAATGAGGGTCCACCACTACTGAAAAATAGAAGTGTAGTAACAGTGATGAAATAGGATCAAATGCCTTTGTGTGCTGCGTTATCTTATTACAATATCTTTCCATTTTTCATGTATCCAAAAATTCCTTTAAAAGGTGATCCAAATGATTGCTACTGGTTAAATAATTATTTAGGTCTATTGTTTCTTGGTCTATTTCTATTTACATTTGATATTTTGTATAATCAAATAATTGTTTATGTAGAAACTGTCTGTTAAGATAACCAAAGCTTCTTCTAACAATAAGATCAATACTTCTGATTTTAATCAGGTAAAATCTAAGTGTTTAGAATCCAAACTATTTTGAATATAAATATTTTCAATAAAATCTACACATTAAAATTTTTTTCTACTATCCAAAACAATCTGCAGATTCCATACAATCCCTATCAAAATACCCATGCCATTTTTCTCAGAAATAGGAAAAGCAGTCCTAAAATTCTTGTGGAACAATGAAAGAGCCTGAATAGTCAAAGCAACCCTGAGCAAAAAGAACAAAGCTAAAGGCACCACACTATCTGACTTCAAAATATATTACAAGGGTAGAGTAACCCAAATAGCTTAGTATTGGTATAAAAATAGGTACATAGACCAATGGAACAGAATAGACAACCCAGAAATAAATCTACGTATTCAAAGCCAACTGATCTTTGACAAAGCCATTAATAACATACACTGGGGAAAGTACAATCTCTTCAATAAGTGGTGCTAGGAAAACTAGATAACCATATGCAGAAGAATGAAACTGGACCCCTGTCTCTCACCATGTACAAAAAAATTGGACTAAACACTTAAATATAAGACCCCAAACTATAAACTTACTGGAAAAAAACAAAGGGAAACTGTTCAGGGCACTGGCCTAGGCAAAGACTTGACAGCTAAGACTCCAAAAGCACAGACAATGAAAACAAAAATAGACAAATTGAACTTTATTAAATTAGAAAGCTCCTGCATAGCAAAGGAAACAGTAAATGGAGTGATGAGACAACCTATAGAATGGGAGAAAATATTTGCAAACCATCATCTGACAGGAGACTGATATGCAAAATACACAAGTGTGATAAAAATGGACCAAGATGCCACATGATTCCAGAACAATTGGAAAAGTCATATTTCTTGTGAAGAGTATCTTAGAAATAATTATGCAGAGAAGATATAGATGTACACAAGTCACTTGCCTGTTTTAGTCATTTATCCCCTTGTGGACTTTGGGTTTAAGATCCCCAGCTTAGTTTTTGTATCTATAATTTCATCCATGGGTACAGATCACCCCTGAGGCTTAAATAAAATATTTCCTACCTCAAGAGATAGTCTTATTTTCTTTCTTTCTATTTTTTTTTCAGTGAAACTCTGAGCTTTTTATGGTGGCAATGTGCCTAGAACCAGCTCCATGCCAAAATTTTTACTCACATTTTCTTATTTCTCAGTTTCCTTTGTTTCTAGCCATGTAACCCAGTTCTGACCAATAAGATGTAGGCAGAACATGCTGCTGACTTGAGGAATTTTAAATTTCTCTGTAGAAGGGACATACAATTGGTTTGGCCCTTGATCATTTCCCCTTCTTCCTGCTTTGAAGTGGACAAATTATCTGGAGATGCAAACGCCATTTTGTACTTGTGAGGAGATAGCCACAAAGACAAAAGCCAGCTTGTGAAGGATGCTTAGCAGAAAGTAAAGCAAGAGTCTAGACCCTTGGGTGCAGTTGTGTAGCTAAACCAATTGCCAGTAATTGCATAGGTTTGGTAATATGAGAAAAATAAACCCTTCATGTTTAAGTCATGTTGGTCAGCTTTTCTGTTACTTGCAGCCAAATGCATTCTTGATTTGTTTTTCTTCCCTTCTCTTTCTCTGAAGAATCACCATGATGGCTTAGATCCTGTACACATATGCTGAAAACTGGAGGGCCTTCAAAGCCCTCATCACTGCTCAATACAGCAGGGCTCAGGTCTGCATGCTCTCTGCACCATCCCCACTTCCACTTTGGCCAAACCAATCACAAACCTAAATTTCTTTTCAAATTTCCTGCTGGCAAGATTCCAGCATTTGATGGTGACAGTGGAGCCTGTGTGTTTAAGAGTAATGTCATTACCTACTGTGTGAGCAATGAGGAGCTGCAGGAAAGTACTCCAGAAGCAGAAGCCCAGGTGGTGCAGTGGATAGGCTTTGCTGATAACAACATAGTGCCCTTAGCCAGTACTTGGTTGTTCCCTACCTTGGGCATCGTGCACCACAACAAATAGGCCACTAAGAATGCAAAAGAGGACATGAGGTGAATTCTGGAGCTGCTGGATGCTCACTTGAAGATGAGGACTTTTCTGGTGGGTGAATGAGTAACTGGCTGACATCACAGTTGTCTGCACCTTGTTATGGCTCTATAAGCAGGTGCTGGAGCCTTCTTTCCACCAAGCCTTTCTCAGTATCAACCCTTGGCTCCTCATCTGCATTAACCAGACCCAGTTGCGGGCTGTCTTGGAATAAGTGAAACTGTGTGAGAAGATGGCCCAGTTTGATGCTAAAAATTCTACAGAGAGCCCGACTAAAAACGACACCCATGGAAAGGGAAAGGTTCGTTAAAAGAGAAGCAGACGCCTCAGGCTGAACAGAAAGAGGAAAAAGTGTGGCTTCCCTTGCTTCTGAGGAGGAGATGGATGAATGTGAGCAGGCACCGGCTGCTGAGCCCAAGGCCAAGGGCCTCTTTGCTCAGCTGCCCAAGGGTACTTTTGTGTTGGGTGAATTTACACCCAAGTGCTCCAGTGAGGACACACTGTGTCACTGCCATATTTTTGGAAGCACTCTGTTAAGGATGGCTGGTCCCTATGGTTCTCTGAGTATCACTTCCCTGAAGAGCTCACTCAGACCTTCATGAGCTGCAACCTCATCACTGAAATGTTCCAGTGACTAGACAAGCTGAGGAAGAACACCTTTGCCGTGTCATCCTCTTTGGAACCAACAATAGTAGCTCCATTTCTGGAATCTGGGTCTTCAGAGGCCAGGAGCTTGCCTTTCCCCTGAGTCCAGATTGGCAGGTGGACTACAAGTCATACACGTAGCAGAAACTGGATCCTGGCAGTGATGAGACCCAGATGCAGGTTCAAGAGTACTTTTCCTGGGATAGAGCCTTCCAGCATGTGGGCAAAGCCTTCAATCAGGGCAAAATCGTCAAGTGAACATCTCTTGCCATCACCCAGCTACCTGAACCTTTGTTTCAGGGAGATGAGGGTCATTAAAGAAAACTGAACATTGAGAAAAAAGAAATGCTTCAATATTTTATTAATTCTATAATAAAACAAACAGCTGTGCAATCATTTTGATAGATGGCAACTCAGCCTCCATGTCTGACAAAAATAGTGGGGTTAGGGAAGGGACAATCATGACCTGGCTCTGTCCCAAATGAGCAGCTTCTATTCAGTTCCTATTGATAGTTGCTATGCTGGAATGTTATTTGATTTTTTAAAAGAAATCAGAAATGTGGATTTTTATGTGAAATCTCACAATTCAATATTAATAATGAATTTGGAAGTTTCAGACTCCCCAAATGGCCTCAGGAAGGCTAAAAGTTTTTTGACCTCTGAGAGCAGGTGTCAAGGACAAGAACCCTTACCACAGGCCAAGCCCAGCAACTGCCTCTAAGTTTCCTTTCCCAGTGCAGATGCCAGCCTTCTCTGTGGGCATATTCCTTTTCCACTTCACAATGTCTAGATAGTCTCATCAACCTTGACAAACAAATAAGTCTTAAGTTAGGGCACTTTTCATTCTAAAACTGGAGTCCATTTCTAAGAGCAAACTTCACTGTAGGAATTTCCAATTTTTTACTAAAGGCTAAATAATCTTTGTCATTAAAATTTATACCATTAAGATTAAAAAACAAACCCAGATATTTCTGGTTACCATAAAAAGCAAATATTGACTCACTTGATGGTGAAATGACTGCTTCTTTGTTCATTCTTTCAGTAGTTTGTTTTCATCTAGAAAGTGCTGTTTACTTTGTAAGTAATGGTCTGTTTACAGTTCAGGAAAATGATCAACTCCTTTACTTTCTCAAATTTTCCAAAGTATAACTTTAATAAATAAAGCTCTGCCTTGTCATCATGCCTTCTGATTTTCCTTTTCCCTCCTGTTGTTTTCTGTCTTCCCATTTCACTCTAGCCTTCAGCCTTTTGGTAAGCCTGTAGCAAAACCAAGAGTAATTTGACAACGAATATGCTCCTTACTTCACAAAATAATATTCTTATGGATTTATGTCACTGTAACTATCCAAAGCAACTGATAATTTCCTTGGATCATTGAGATTCTCCAATCTCAAATCTAATACTCTTTTTCTCTCATAGTGATAGAAGTGTACCTTTTGGATTCTGTTGCCTGACCTTGGTACCTGCATCTGACCTCTGCTTTTCTCATAACTGGGCCACTACGCAGCTGTCTCACCAGGTTTATAATCTCCTTCTCCTCTGAGGATCCTTTTGTCTTTCTCCTAAGTAGCAAAACAACCAATACATAACTAACAGTAAAACGAATGTTTTCAACACATGATTCTCCTCACTGCATAATATCATCTCAGCAACTCTAGCCATGTAAATGTGTCTGTTTACAGTTTATAAATCTCCAGTCTACTCTTTGAGTAATCTCTATTTGCCTTTTCTATTCATAAGCATAACACATAATACCTTTGCCTGTTTATCTAACAGTTATTACTGCTTGATGTTTCTTAATGTTTCATCGTGGTGAGAGGCATTGATTGGATCTTCCTTCAACATAGAGATGAGCCAAAATTTGCTAAGTGTATTTATTTATAATTTATATTCCTTATAGTTCCAAAATGCATTTAAGATCATTTAGATGAAAACATGTAGTTAGCTTAATTAAAATAAAAACAAAAGTTAAAAATATCTTTTAGAGTTAGGATAAGATAGCTATTGTCACAGAGCATAAAATTTGGCTTGAACTTTTTTGGCAAGCCAGGGAAAACAGAAAGTAGTACAAAGCTCTCATTATGTGATCAAATAAACTACATGAGTTCTTTCCTCAACAAATGAATGTCTGTAACAAATATTTGTGAAGGACTTACAACACCTCAGACACTACACTTACTGTGTGGATACAAAGACAGAAGATACTAAAATGACATGAAAAGGCCAATATCCGGTTTGGTAAATAGACATATAGATAATGACAATAACATGAATTAAATTTAGTGCTTGAAATCTGCACAGGGTGTTATTGAAACACTTACTTGGAGTCAAGAGTAGTTACATCTCCTGAAGAGAAGCATGTGCCATGTGCTGAGGAAAATAATGTGTATTCTGTAGCCACTGGATAAAATGTCCTATAAATATCAATTATGTCTATAGTACAGATTAAGTCCAATGTTTCTTTGTTGATTTTCTGTATGCAGATCAGTCCAGTGCTGAAAGTGGGGTATTGAAGTCTCAAGTTATTATTGTATTAGGGTCTATCTCTCTCTTTAGCTCTAATAAAATTTGCTTTATATACCTGGGTGATCCAGTGTTGGGTGCATATATAATTGTTATATCTTCTTGCTGAATTAACCCCTTTATCATAATATAGTAACCTTCTTTGCCTCTTATAGTTTTTCTCTTTAAATCTATTTTGTCTGATATAAGTATAGCTACTTCTGCTGTTTTTTGGTTTCCACTGGCATGGAATATCTCTTTCCATCCCTTTGTTTTCAGTCTGTGTGTCTTTATAGGTGATGTGTATTTCTTGAAGGCAACAGGTAATTGGGTCTTATTTTTTGGTGGTGGTTGTTTGTTGTTGTTGTTGCTGTTGATGTTTTTTATCCATTCGGCCACTCCATGTCTTTTGATTGGAGAGTTTAGTCCATTTGCATTCAATATTGTTGTTGATAAGTAAGGACTTATCCTGCCATTTTGTTGTTTATATTCTCATTGTTTTGTGATCTTCTCTTCCTTCTTTCTTTTTCTTTCTGTTTTCCTTTTAGCGAAGGTGATTTTCTCTGGCTACATAATTTAGTTTCTTTTGCTTTTTAATTTTTTTGTGTATTCTTTGTGTGTTTTCTGGCTTGAGTTTACCGTGAGGCTTGCAAATACTGTCTTATAACCCATTTTTTAAACCTGATAACATACTGTTTGCATAAACAAGCAAGCAAAAAGAAAGCTAATAAAAGCTATATGCTATAACTTTATTCCCCCACTTTTTAACTTTTTGTTGTTTCTATTTGTATCTTATTGTACTATGTTCTGAAAAGTTATTTTAGTTATTATTTTTGATTGATTAGCTGTTTAGCCTTTCTACTTAAGATAAGGGTAGTTTATACCACAGTTACAGTGTTATAATATTCTGTGTTTTTCTTTGTACTTACAATTACCAGTGAGTTTTGTACCTTCCGGTGATTTCTTATTGCTCATTAACATCCTTTTCTTTGATTCCAGTGCTCCCTTTAGCATTTCTTGTTAGACAGATTTGGTATTGATGAAATCCCACAGCTTTTGTTTGTCTGGGAAAATCTGTATTTCTTCATGTTTGAAGGATATTTTTACTGGATATAGTATTCTACAGAAAAATTTTTATACCTTCAGCACTTTAAATAAGTCATATCACTCTCTCCTATCCTTTAAGGTTTCCACTAAAAAGTCTGTTGCCAGACGTATTGGAGCTCCTTGTATGTTATTTGTTTCTTTTCTCTTGCTGCCTCCTTTCTTTGTCCTTGACCTTTCGGGAGTTTGATTATTAAAAGCCTTGAGGTAGTCTTCTCTGGGTTAAATCTACTTGGTGTTCTATAACCTTCTTGTACTTGGATATTGGTATCTTTATCTAGGTTTGGGAAGTTATCTGTTATTATCCCTTTGAAGAAAATTGCTACCCTTATCTCTTTCTCTACCTCCTCTTTAAGGAGATAATTCTTAGATTTTGTTTTAAGGCCATTTTCTAGATCTTGTAGGTGTGCTTTATTGTTTGTTAATCTTTTTTCTTTTGCCTCCTCAGTCTGTGTATTTTTATTTAGCATGTCTTCAAGCTCACAAATTCTTTCTTCTGCTTGACAAATTATGTTATTAAAGGATTCTGATGCATTCTTCAGTATGCCCAATGCATTTTTCAACTCCAGAATTTCTGCCTGATTCTTTTTAATTATTTCAATATTTTTGTTAAACTTATCTAATAAAATTCTAAATTCCTTCTCTATGTTATCTTGAATTTCTTTGAGTTTTCTCAACGCAGCTATTTTGAATTCTCTATCTGAAGGGTCATATATCTGTTACTCCAGGACTGGTTCCCTGATGCTTTATTTAGTTCATTTGGTGAGGCCATGTTTTCCTGGATGGTTTTGATACTTGTAGATGTCCATCTGTGGCTGGGTATTGAAGAATTAGGTGTTTATTGTAGTCTTCACAGCCTGGGCTTGTTTGTACCCATCCTTCTTGGGAAGGCTTTCCAGATATTTGAAAGGACTTGGGTGTTGTGAACTAAGCTGTATCTGTTTTAGGGGGCACCCCAAGCCCAGTAAGGCTGTGGTTCTTGCAGATTTGTCGAGGTACCAACTTGCTGGTCTTAGAAAAGATCCAGAATAATTTTCTGGATCATCAGGCAGAGACTCTTGCTCTTTTCTCTTACTTTCTCCCAAAGACACTGGGTCTCTCTCTGTTCTGATCCACTTGGAACTGGAGGTGACATGTCACAGGCACCCTTGTGGCCACCACCATTAAAACTGTGCCTCATCAGACTTTAAGCAGCACAGCATTGTGTTTCACTCAAGGCCTACTCTAGCCACTCCCTGGTTACTGTCTATGTTCACTCAAGGCCCTTGGGCTCTACAATCCATAATGGCAAAGGCTGCCAAGCCTGTATCCTTCCCTTCAGGGCAGTAAGTTCCCGTAGTCCCTGAGAAGGTCCAGATGTGCCATCCAGGAGCCAGGGACCACAGTCAAAAACCTTAGAAATATAACTGGTGTTCTATTGTACTGCAGCTAAGCTGGCACTCAAACCACAAGACACAGTTCTTCCCACTTTTCCTTCTCCTTTGCAAAGGCAGACGAGCCTTACCTCATAGCTACTACTACCACAGGCCCACAGAGAGTACAGCCAGATTGCCACTGATGTTTCCTTAAGGCCCAAGGGCTCTTCAGTCAGCTTGTGGTGAATGCTGCCTGGCATCAGCCTCACCCTTCAGGGTAGCGGGCTCCCCTCTGCCCAGGGCAGGTCCAGAAATGCCATCCAATAGGCAAATCCTAGAATCAGGGACCTCAAGACCCCTCTGGGTACTCTACCCTGCTGTGGCCAAACTGGTATTCAAAGTGCAAGGCAAAGTCCCCTTTACATTTCCTTCTATTTTCTCAAGCAGAAGGAGTCTCACCCAATAGGCACCACAGTTGGGAATGTGCTGAGTATCACCTGAAGTCAGCAAGTCTCAGAGGCTCACTCAAGGCCCTGGATGTATTAATATTACCTGAGCATTGCTGCTGGTTATTCAGGGCCCATAGGCTCTTCAGTTAGCAGGTGGTGAATCCTGCCATGGCTGAGTCCTTCCCTTCAAGGCAGTGGATTCCCTTCTGGCCCAGGGTGTGTCTAGAAATGTCATCAGGCAGCTAGGGCCTGGAAAGGGGACCTCACACCTCTAACTGGTGCCCTATCCTGCTGTGGCTGAGCTGGCATCCAAGATGCAAGTCTTCCTCACTCTTCCCACTCCTCTCCTCAAGTGGAAGAAAGGTGTTTATTTTGGAGCTGCAAGTTGTGCAGCGTGGGTTTAGGGGAAGGGTGATGCCAGCACTCTTTTGGCTGTTCCAGCTGGTATCTCAGTATGTCACATGCCCCCCCCCCCACCCCACTTCCCCCGCCCAGTCCACTGACCTGGGCTCAGTTCAGTCCTAGGACTTCCCTAGGTGTTGCAGTCCTCGTGTCCTAGACTGCCTTTCAAGCTTATGTAGAGCCACAGAACACTTTAGCCCACAGTGGTGGGGCTTGTGGAACTCAAGTTCTAGCCACTGGGATCAGTGATTCCCCTCTGGCTATGGCTGATTTAAATGCTTCCTCCATGGGCAGGCATCAGCTGAGTTTGGTACAGTTTTTCTTTCTGCTATAACAGAGCAAGACTGAGTTTAGTGCCTCACAATTTCTGTGTTCCCCTTTCCCTAGCTCACAGAAAGGCTCTCAGTACCATGCCACCACTGCTAGGAGATGGGGCAGGCCAGGTGTTGGCAATTCAAGGCTGTTTTTTCTACCTCTTCAGTGCCTCTTTCAGAGACATGAGGTTAAAACTAGGTACTGCGAGTGCTCATCTAATTTTTGGTTCTCATTAAAGTGATTTTTCCATGCAGATAGTTGTTAATTAGGTATCCTTGCAGGGGGAGAAATTAGTGGAGCTTTCTAGTCCACCATCTTGGTCCACATCCATAGAGTGTACATGTATTTTTTAGTGACATGTTGACAGTTACATAGTCTGCCACAGTCATGTAAATTCAAACTAATTTCTCTGTAAAAAGGAGTTAATAGTCTTATTTGATTAAGCTTTCATCTTTAGCAACATTGAAATCCTAGATCCTCCTTTAACAATGCCATAATACTAGAGGGAGAAATGTGAGATTGAGATTGGGACTATCCACACATAGCTCTCTAATCCCATGCTTCCCGGAGGATCTTAATCAGCAAACTCAGAGTTGAAAAAAGAAATTATTCTGTTTTATCTTTTTTTTTTTTTTTTTTAAGAGACGTGGGGTCTCACACTATGTTGCCCTGGCTGGACTCAAACTTCTGGGCTCAAGTGTTCCTCCTGCCTCTGCCTCCTGAGGAGCTGGAACTACAGGTATGTGTCACTGTGCCCCGCAATTTCATCTTACTTTAACAATTCTTTCTATTTTATTATCTCTATTATTTTAACACAGTCTAATTTCTATTTTGAGTGCACATCCTGCTAAGCAGGGAGGAAACACAACCTCAGACCTCAGGGCTCTTCCCCTCTGGTCAAGCTGCTGTCTCAGACTCAGGCAGTGGAAGACATTCAGGGAAAGGTAGGCTGCCTCTGAGACATTTATCATCCACAGTGGAGGACCCTGGAATTTCAGGGTCTTTCCACTCCTACCCTGACCTATCTGGGGCATGAAGTTCTCTGTAAAACTGCCGCAAGCAGCCTTCGCAACTCTAGTGTCTTGCCACCCTCCCAAAACCCTGCCTAAAAGTTTAGCAAGAGTACCATAGCAGTTAAAATAAATGAAGCTGGTTTATCTGGGTTCTAATTCCAGCCCTGCTACTTACTAGCTGTGAGATCAGCAAATTATATCTTCTTTCTCTGTCTCACTTTCTTCATTTGTAAGCTGGGAATATAGTATCTAACTCAAGGGGTTGTTGTGAGAAGAAAACATACCAAGCATTTAGAATAATGTCTGACGTAAGAATCTCATACGTTTTGATATTCACTAAAATGTAAGCTTCATGAGGGCATTTGTTCTAATTTTATCTATTTGTTCACTGCTCTTGAAACAGTGCCTGGTGTAAAAAAAGTTGAATGAATGAATGTTGAAAGATTCAGAATGTCAACCTAAATAACAAATTAAGAGAGGCTCTATTAGAAAAAATGATGTTTATTTGAGAATAGAGAATTGCAATGGGAATACGTCTGCCATAGTAAACTATGTGTATATTCAGGGAGGTAAAGGAAGACAAAGATTTTTAAAGGAAAAAATTAGGAAGATTACATAATTGTTTTGAAAAAAAATTATCCTTATCTACAAAGATCAATAACAAAAGATTAGTTGGGCTCAGTGGTGCGCACCTGTAGTCCCAGCTACTCTGGAGGCTGAGGCAGGAGACTAGCTTAAGCCCAGGATTTTGAGCCTGGGCAACACAGTGAGACCCTATCTCTAAAACATAAACAAACAAACAAAAAGGTGATACCAACCCAAGGTTAAACAGGCAGTTGCTGGGCAGATGTCCTTGCAAAAATATTTTTGTGTGTGTAAGGTTGCAATGACCTTTGTGCGAGGTTTTTGCAGTCTTTTATGATACTTTTGTTATCAGGCATACAAGATTGAATACCCTCTCCTCACAGCCTTCCCCACCTCTATTTGCCAGGGTTGTTATTGTTGCTATTGCTGTTTTAACATTAGTGACTCCATTTTGAGTCTGACAGCTTTCACAAGGGCATGTTTCTTCTCTGCCCCAGAACTTCAGAGCTCTCTGTTCTTCTGTGTTTCCTCCTTCCAACCCCAGGAAATCTTCCAGCCCTGGTCTCAGAGGAATCTTTTCCCTTGCGGGTTTCTGGCCAATATGTTGGCCTCACCTATTCTTCCAATGCCAGGAAAAACATGTAGACTATTTCACCTTTTTGCCCCAACTATATTCCTCCATGGAAGCAAAGAACAGGCTTAACTACCTATTTGAGTGGAAGGAAAGGAAAGGAGGAAATACAGAATAAAAGCATATGTTTAAAATTTTGAAATGTTATCCCGCCCCAAGAGTTTTCACTCATTGTTTTTTTTAACTTTCAGTTTTGCATGAATGAGTCCAAAGGTTGTGTAAAATTATAGAAATTTTTCTTTAATCATAATATGAAATGCAACTCACAGCTGTTCACATATCAGCTGAATCTAATCAGTGTCTGACTCATGGCCTCACCATTGTATTAGCTGTGCTAGTCAGACAGTTTCCTCCTGGCCTTCTTGGAAAAGATGGGCTTGGTGATTGGGTAGCCATGGCACTGCAGTAATAGTAGTAAGCAATTTGCCTTCTTTGAGAAAAGTTCTACTCTATTTTTTAGGTACACTCAGAACCCATACGCAAACGCACCACACACATTTTCTGAACAGAGGTGGGGCAAGCAGGTAGTAGACTTTCCTGCCACATCAGACCTCAAGGTAATGTTCTCCTTCCCCACCCTCCTTTCCACCCATCTCCTCCCACTCCCCCAACTAATTTCCAGCCTACTATTCATTTGCCAAGGCAGTCTGGGTTTCTTTGCCAAAAAACCACACCCAGGAAGGCTCCTTTGCCTGTATCCAGTTATACCAGCCCTGCTGCTTGTTGGAAGCCTCCCTATCCTTCACTTCCTTGAAGAGCCCTAAGTTAACCCACAGTTAACTGGGCTTCTTCTGAGACAGCAGTACCAGGGCTTACAATTTTGCACTAACATTTATAATGAAATTGTCAAACCCTCCATTTCAAAAATAGACCTGAAGTTGGTTTGGGGTTTTGTTTTAAGTAAGATGTATTTTCTTGTTCTTCGTTTACTCAGTCTTGGTTGAGATTGGATTTCAGTCTAACCTGTGCTACCTAGATGGGAAGATGGTGAACTATTTTACAGCAAAGACATCTCTCCCTCAGTCTAAATATTCTCTATGGTTGAATATTATACCCTACTTACATGGTGAATATTGGTAAGAATGAGAACTGATATAATTTGGAGATAAGTACCCCAGACTGAAGTTCCAATATCTGCATTCCAAATCATGACCTTGTCACTGTTTGTCCTTGGCAAGTCAGTGACTCTGTCTGGATCATTTCCCTATCTCTATGTTATGATATATTTTTGAAATACTTTCAAGTGTATTTTCACATCCTATAATTATCTTTGACTCTGCTAGCCCACTCATTTACATAGCATCTATTCCTTTAGGAGGGCAGATACCACTTAGAAAACAGGGTCAGCCTCTATGCCCAACACTACCTATTTTAAAAATTTATAGTGAAGTAATAATTCTGAAATCTCTAAATTCTTTCAGCTACCTTTTTATTTTAAAAAAAGCAAATCTTGGAGTTGGAGTGGCCACCTCATCTTGATTTGCCCAGGACTTTCTGTTTTATCAATGAAAGTCTCAAATTTTGAGAACTCCCTCAGTCCCATGCAAATCAGGTGACTGGTCACCCTACTTGGAGGTTTAATGATGAGTCATAGCATAGTGACAACTTAAGAAATGAAGCAGGATGGTAAGAATGTGAGCTGTAGGGAGTGTGGATGCTTCAGTCACCTATTAGCAAACTATTCCAAATGAATGACTTAAAACAAGGGCAAGCATTTATTTTGCTCGTGAATCTGGGCATTGAATGGCTTAGCCAGGTGGTTCTCACTCAGAGTATCTCTTGTGGTTGCCATCAGACAGTGGCTGAGCTGGCATCATCTTTAAGGATTCTTAGCTCACATCAGCTCCTGAGCTGGATGCAACTGAACAGCTGATAGCACACACTCCTCAGGTCTCATTCTTTCTCCACGTGGTCTCCCCAAATGGAGGTCTCAGGACAGCTGGTCTCCTTACATGGGATCGGAAAGCTCTGAGAGCAAGTCCTAAGAGAAACTGGTGGAAATGGCGGGGCCTTTCCTAGTTCAACCTAACATCACACAGTATCTTAGTTTGCGTTGCTGTGACAAAATAACAGAAGCTAGATAATTTATAAAGAAAAAAGGTTTATTTAGCTCATTGTTCTCTAGGCTGGGAAGTTCAAGAATTATTGTCTCAGCATCTGTTCAGTTTCTGGTGAGGACTTTTGAACTAGGTCAAAACATCATGGAAGGTCAAAGGGTAAGTGGGTATGAGTGAAAAGGCAAAATCTAAGAAACATCCTGGCTGTATAACAACCCACTCCCACAGCAACTAATCTAATATCACCACAGCAAGAACTTACTACTTTGAGGTAGCACCAAGACATTCATAAGGGATCTTCCCCCATGACCCAAACACCTCCCACTAGGCCCTACTTCCCAATACCACCACATAGGAGACCAAATTTCTTTCTTTTTTTTTTTTTTTTTTGAGATGGAGTCTGGCTCTGTCGCCCAGGCTGGAGTGCAGTGGCGTGATCTTGGCTCACTGCAAGCTCTGCCTCCCAGGTTCACGCCATTCTCCTGCCTCAGCCTCCTGAGTAGCTGGGACTACAGGCGCCTGCCACCACGCCTGGCTATTTTTTTGTATTTTTAGTAGAGATGGGGTTTCACCATGTTAGCCAGGATGGTCTCGATCTCCTGACCTCGTGATCCTCCTGCCTCAGCCTCCCAAAGTGCTGGAATTACAGGCGTGAGCCACCACGCCTGGCCTTCGGGGACCAAATTCCAACATAAGTTTCGGTGGGGACAAACTCAAAGCATAGCATGCAGCATCACTTCTGCCATATTCCTTTCATCAAGAAAGTCACAAAGGCCCACCCAGGGTCAAGGGAGGTGACATGGACTGCACCTTTTTTAGTTTCAAAAATTTTTCAGACTTGTTTTAAAACCACCATAAGGAGAAAGAGGAGAATATACCCCTTCCAGCTCAGGGAGTTTGCTAGAAAGAGAGAAAGGAGATTTAGGGAAAGCAAATTGTCAGATGTGTATGTGTTATGGATCACTACCAAACCTCCTTAGCTCATAAGATCAAAGAAGTATCAGGTGGGACAAGGGTCAAGAGGAAAGCCAAGAGTAGAGGTGCTGTTGCCACTTTCAGATTCACTCTGGAAAGATGTCATCACATAGAGGGACAACAATGAATGGCCACAGCAAAGTAAAAATAGGCAACACAGTATGGGTAGATAGTAAGAGGGCTTGCTTACCCAGAGTCTTCTTTGGCTCTCGGGTGTCACGGAAGAGACTTACAGGTTCCTGCCTGCATCATGAAGGTGGTGGAAAGAAGCTGATATTTCCATTTGCAAAGATGCCACACATCATTAGTGAGGTGACCCTGAAGAATCTTAAGCTGGGGGTCCCAGGGCCCCTCAGACCTTAGAAAGAAAGAACAGCAGCACCAAGAAAACTGAGGAGAGAATGAGTCTACAGAAAGGAAGTCCAGGCCAACTGAGCCCAGAGAACAGACTAAGTTCTCCAAAGTCAGGGCAGCAAAGCACCCCCAAACTCCACCACCTGACTAGACAGACAAATAGCATCACCATGGAGACTGGTGCAGCTGGAGTGCAATAGAACAACTTGGCCTCTCTTCTCTGCCACCTTGAGGTCACATGAGCCTCCCAATCCATCTAGGAGAGGGGCAGTTGAAGAGATAAAAATCTGAAAGTTCTCTAAGGAAGAGACGACCAAGGAGGGAACTTGAGCAACTAGGTAGGACCATTTCCTAGGATGGGAAGTCTAGAGAGGAACAGGTTGGGGAGAGTATAGGTAGGGTGAGGATTTATTTATTAGACAAAATAGGCCTGGCATAGTGGCTCACACCTATAATCTCAGCACTTTGGGAGGCTGAGGCAGGAGGAATGCTTGAGGCCAGGAGTTCAAGACCAGTCTGAGCAATACAGTGAGACCCTGTCTCTGCAAAAAATTTAAAAACTTAGCCAGATGTGGTGGCACATGCCTTTGGTCCCAGCTACATTAGAGGGTGAGGCGGGAGGATCGCCTGGGCCCAGGAGGTCGAGGCTGCAGTGAGCCATGATAGCTTCACTGCATTCCAGCCTGGGCAACAACAGAGTGAGACCGTGTCTCAAAACGGAAAGAAAAAATAAATAGATATGGAGATCAGGAAAAAAAAAAATAATCCTGCCAGATGTGGTGGTTCACATCTGTAATCCCAGCACTTTGGGAGGCCAAGGCATGAGGAACACTTGAGCCCAGGAGTTTGAAACGAGCCTGGGCAACACAGGAGGACATCATCTCTACCAAAAAAAAAAAAAAAAGAAAAAAAAGAAAGAAAATTTAATTAGCCAGGCATGGCAGCATGTGCCTGTATTCCCAGCTACTTGGGAAACTGAGGAAGGAGGATCGCTTGAGCCCAGGAGGTGCAGGTTACAGTCAGTCATTATTGCACCACTGCACTCTCAGCCTGGGTGACAGAGCAAGACCTTGTCTCAAAAAAAAAAAAAAAAAAAGCCACTTTGATACAGCGCTAAATGAAGCCCTCACTCAGGAGTTGATATTTAGGGTGAGATCTAAAATGTGTGAAGAGCCAGGAAAGAACATTCAGATTAATTGACCAATATGTTCCTGTGGATCAAATTCTTTAATTCTTTCTTCAGTTTAACAATTTATCCCTACAGGTCAAATTCCTCAATTATGATCAATCCCTGTAGGTCAAATTCAAATTTAATCTTTTTAGTAGTTTTATTTCTGATAAATTTTTTATTTCATTTCACCTCTCCCAATGGATAGTTTATTTCAAAACACACTGCAACCCATTATTGTCAATGCTTCAAACTTACTCCGATTCATGGGTCTGTGTATGATAGCACTCAGCCTCTCTCTGGTTTCCAACATGCTTGGGTTAACCGTAATGATCCCAACTTCCTTTTTTTGTCACTTCTTGGCGTCCACACCCAAAGCATGTAATCCTATTGGAACAAATGTAAAGCAAAGTGCAAGACAATGACTGGAGTTGGTTGAGATATATTGGACTCATGTTTGGCCAAATGTATGTGCCACAGTCAATTTGAAAATAATGCTTTCAATTCCCTTTTACTTCACATATCAGAACAATTTTCTATTAACTAATATGATGTTTTGACTTTTGGTTTTAGTATATTTTAGTACAAATATCCAGGGACAAACTCTTAGATTGAATACATCTAAGAGACAGACTTTCAATTCATCCAAATATTCCAGATAAAGGAAGCCATGGGTGTAAAGGTGATGGAGTCATCTGAAAGAGGTGGATTCATTGGCAGGTTTAAAGTCCTGGTACCTTCTTTCAATCTCAACTCCTATGAGAAAAATCAGGTCAGCTAAAAAGAGAAAAAAGGCACATTTCTTCCATCACATCTAAGTTATAATATGAAACACGGAAACCACTCCTTTGATTACCTCTCTCCCTTGGGTTCCCTCTGAGTTGTGAAGCCACTTCCTCCCCTGAGCCTCTGCACCTGCGGTTCCCTCTATCTGAAATGTTCTTCTCTGACTTTTCACACCTTTCAGTTCTCACCTTAAATGTCAACTCCTGAGTGAGGCCTTCATCGACTGCCCTATCAAAATAAGCCTACTCTTCTTTTTTCCAGTCTCTGTACAGTACCAATTTATTTCTTCATTACCCTTGATTCTTCACTGTACCCCCTCCAACCTGCGCCTCTCAAGACTTTCCCATTTCAGGAAATGGCCCTACCTATGTGCTTAAACCAAAAGCTTCAGTCCTTCTAATCACTCTCTCATTTACCCTCACCCCCACATCCAATTTAACCACAGCCCTGCCAGTTCTGTCTTTAAAATATATCCTAAACACATTCACTTCTCTTGCTGAGCCCTGCCACAAACCCTACTCTAGACCACATCCTTCTCATATGGTTTGGCTGTGGTGGCCCCATAACTAGCCACCTTTTCCACACCGTTCCACATCACATTCAACAAAACATTTTAAAAATATAAATTGTATCCCTCAGGTCCTCTGTAGACCTTTCACAGACTGAGGGTCTTCACTCAGCCCACAAGGCCTGCAGAATATGCCATGCCAAGCCCTCACCTAACACTGAGCTGTGTTCTACTCTGAACTGACTAGTCATCCTCCTACCTCAGGGCTTGGCTCTTCCTCGACCTGTGAGAACCTCCTCCATTATCATAACAAAGATGATGAGTACTTTTCATCATTCAGGCCTCAGCCTAAATGTCACCTCCTTGAAAAAATTCTCCCTGAACACCCCCTTCCTCCCAATCAGAATTCTCTTCTTTGTTCTTCTTTTCTTTAGTGCACTTACCACTGTGATGAAATTGCTAGTTAATCCAAAAGTGTAGTCTTTTCTAATTCCTCTTCCACATACACACTATGTAAGACCCCTGGGAGCAGGTCCCAATATCCCCAGCACTCAGAACAATACATATCTGGCTCATAGGTGCTTAGATTGAACAAGTAACAAACAACTGAATGAACGAACAGCTTGAAAACCACTTATTCCCTGAAAGAGGAGCATCTTCTTCTGGTCTTGTTTTCCTCATCTGTGAAATGAGGCTATTGAATAAGGGAATCTCCAGAGCTCTTTTTAGCCTAAATGGCTGGGAGTCTTGCTGTAATTGAAAGGGCACCCAAGTAGTTGGTTCAGTGAGGCCATATTTTCTCCACAGACAGTTTAAATGGCTATTTCAATGTTCTCCTAAAGTATGAATTAGTTACTGGAAAGATCGTATAACTTTATTAGTTAATAATATGTGAGAGTTAATAATTGCCAATTAAGTAAAAAGGACCAAGTAAAATGTAAGTCCATCATTACAACAAATGTTGAAATAAATTGCTTGTGATCAAGGGTCTATTCATATCTGGCATTTAGTTTTTTTTGAATTTGGCTTCTCTGGGCTAGAGCCCAATACTTAAACACAAGAAAATACAGAATCAAGACTCCATTAACTGCAAATGGTTTGTTGTGTTCCTAATGGGGCAATATTCTTTATTGTCAGTTGTACTTGATTTCCAGTTTCAATTCATTTTTCAAGTTCTTCCTGACAAAACACTATAGTGGAAGAAATAATCTTATTTTGGCAGAGTTTCCAGCTATATGACTTCAGCTTACTACCTCCCAGGAAATGGCAGTAGGACTCAAAACTTAAAGTCGTACTCTCCATTCCAAAGAGAAGTTCCCTTGGAAGAACTACACACTAACTCTAAACTCTCTTTAAGCTTCAAAGCAAGCACATTTTGTGCCAGTCCCCATGGTCCATTTTTATCATACAGGCATACCCAAAAGATATTGCAAGTCTGGCTCCAGACCATGGCAATAAGGTGAATATTGCCATAAAATTAGCCACATAAATTTTGTGTTTTCCAGAGCACATAAAAGCTATGTTTACATTATATTATAGTCTACTAAATGTGCAATAGCACCATGTCTAAAATAACAATGTACATACTTTATTAAAAGATAATTTATTGCTAAAAAAAAAAATCTGAGCCTCCACTGAGTAGCAATCTTTTTGCTGGGGAAGGGTCTTGCCTCAATGTTGATGACTGCTGACCAAGCCGGATGATGGTTTCTAAAGGTTGGTGTGGCTGTGGAAATTTCATAAAATAAGACAACAATGAAGCTTGCCACTTCGATTGATTCATCCTTTCATGAAAGATTTCGCTGTAGCATGTGTTGCTGTTTATAGCATTTTACTCTCATAGAGCTCCTTTCAAAATTGGAGTCAATCCTCTCAAGCCCCTCCACTGCTTTATCAACCAAGTTTATGTAATATTCTAAATTCTTTGTTGTCATTTCAACAATGCTCACAGCATCTTCACCAGTAGTAGAGTTCATCTCAAAAAAACACTTTCTTTGCCCGTCTGTAAGAAGCAACTCTTCATCCGCTAAAATTTGATAATGAGATTACAGCCATTCAGTCACACCTTCAGGCTACACTTCTAATTCTGGTTCTTTTGCTAGTTCCACCATATCAGCAGTTACTTCCTTCACTGAAATCTTGAACTCTGCAAAGTCATCTATGAGGGTTGGAATGAATGCCTTTCACACTCCTGTTAATGATGTTTTCACTTCCTCCCATGAATCACAAATGTTGTTAATGGCATCTAGAATGGTGAATCTTTTCCAGAAGCTTTTTAGTGTATTTTGCCCAGATCCACCAGATGAATCATTATCTATGGCAGCTATAGTCTTACAAAATGTATTTCTTAAATAATAAGACTTGAAAGTTGAATTAGTCCTTGATCCATGGACTGAAGAATAAATATATTAGCAGGCATGAAAACAACATTCATCTCCTTGTATATCTTCATCAGAAATCTTAGATGACTGGGTGTATTGGGTGTATTGAAAGGAATCTTCTTTTCTGAGCAGTAGGTCTCAACAATGGACTTAAAGTATGTAGTAAATCACACTGTAAACAGATGTGCTGTCATCCAGGCTTTGTTGTCCTATTTATAGAGCACAGGCAGAGTAGACTTAGCATAATTCTTAATGATCTAGGTTTTTCAGAATGGTAAATGAGCATTGGCTTCAACTTAAAGTCACCAGCTGCATTAGCCCCTAACAAGAGTCAGCCTGTCTTTTGAAGCTTTGAAGCCAGTCATTGACTTCTCTTGTCTAGTTATAAAAGCATCTTTTTCCAATGGAAGGCTATTTTGTCTACAGTGAAAATTTGTTGTTCAGTGTAACCACCTTCATCAGTGATTTTAGCTAGATCTTGTGGGTAATTTGCTGCAGCTTCTACATCAGCACTTGCTACTTCACCTTGTACTTTTATGTTATGAAGATGGCATCTTTCCTTAAAGCTCTTGAACCAAGCTCTGTTAGCTTCAAACCTTCCTTCTGCAGCTTCCTCACCTCTCTCAGCCTTCATAGAATTGAAGAGAGTTTGAGCCTTGCTCTGAATTAGGTTTTGGCTTAAGGAAATGTTGTGGCCAGTTTGATCTTCTATCCAAACCACTGAAACTTTCTCCATATCAACAATCAGGCATTTTATTTTCTTATCGTTTGTGTTCATTGGAGTAGCATTTCTGATTTCCAAGAACTTTTCCTTTGCATTTACAAGTCAGCTAACTGTTTGGCTCAAGAGGCCTAGCTTTTGGCCTGTCTTGGCTTTCAACATGCCTTTCTCACTAAGTGTAATCATTTCTAGCTTTTGATTTAAAGTGAGAGATGGGACTCTTCCTTTTACTTGAACTCTTAGCAGCCATTGTAAGGCTACTAACAGGCATAATTTCATTACTGTTTTGTCTCAGAAAATAGGGAGCCTGAGGAAAGGAAGAGGGATAGGAGAAGGGCCAGTCAATGGAGCAGTCAGAGCACACATAACATTTATCAATTATGTTCACTGTCTTATACGGTCACAGTTCATGGTGCCCCGAAATCATTATAATAGGAATATCTAAGATCACTGATCACAGATCAACATAACAGATACAATAATAATTTTAAAGTTTGAAATATGTTGAGAATTACCAAAATTTGTCACAGAGACACAAAGTGAGCACATACTGTTGGGAAAATGGCACCAATAGACTTGCTCAATGGAGGTTTGCCATAAAACTTCAATTTGTAAGAAACACATCTGTGAAGTGCAATAAAACAAGGTATGCCTGCACACCTCCTCTGAAGCTGTATGCCTAGATACATCCAGCTTCAGAGGCTAAAGGCATAAAAGAATAAGCTTTGAGATAAAGTAGAAGTTTGATAAGAAAATAGTAACCCAAAAAAATCTAAGACATCCATGGAAGCTTTCCCTATTCTCTTTCTCATCTTCTAAATCAAATCCATTTTTTAAGGGTCACTTTAAAAGTCACCTCCTCCAGGAAATATTTCCCTGGCCATTCAGGCCACTATAAAATCTCCTTCCTCTAAATTCCTGCCACACTTTGCTTGGAATTACTCAGTTCATTTGATTCAGGGATCATAAGTGTTTGCTTATATCTCCTTACCTCCCAGTAGACAATGTGCCATTTACCAAACTATCTTCCCTACTCCACCAGGCACTCAAAAGACAAGGACTTCCTCTTACCGAGAAAGCTCAGCAAAGCCTAATATCACACTTCTGTTTTTATGTTCAAAATCATTGTTGCCTTTATTCAAAGTATTAATAAAATACAGGTATATCCTAGAACTTTCATAAGAATTTGTTGTTGTTGTTGTTGTTGTTGTTGAGATGGAGCCTTGCTGTCGCTCAGGCTGGAGTGCAGTGCCTCAATCTCGGCTCACTACAACCTCGGCCTTCAGGTTCAAGCAATTCTCCTGCCTCAGCTTCCCAAGTAGCTGGAACTACATGCATGTGCTACCATGTCCGGTTAATTTTTTTTTTTTTTTTTGTATTTTTAATAGAGACAGGGTTTCACTATGTTGGTCAGGCTGGTCTCCAACTCCTGACCTCAAATGAGCCGCACTCCTCGGCCTCCCAAAGTGCTGGGATTACAGATGTGAGTCACCGCGCCCAGCCTCATGAGCATTTTTAACTCGCCACCTAATTTCTAGTTTGTTTTGTTTTGAGATGGGAACTCATTCCGTCACGCAGGCTGGAGTTCAATGGTGCAATCATGGCTCACTGCAGGTTCAAACCGCTGGGCACAGCTGGGCGCGGTGGCTCACGCCTGTAATCCCAACACTTTGGGAGGCCAAGGGGGGTGAATAACTTCAGATCAGGAGTTCGAGACCAGCCTGGCCAATATGGTGAAACCCCATCTATACTAAAGGTACAAAAAAAAAAAAAAATTAGCCAGGTGTGGTGGCATGCACCTGTAATCCCAGCTACTCAGGAGGCTGAGGCACAAGATTCACTTGAACCCAGGAGGCAGAGGTTGCAGTGAGCCAAGATCCCACCGCTGCACTCTAGCCTGGGCAACAGAGCAAGACTCTATCTCAAAAAAAAAAAAGAAAGAAAAAAAAGAAAAAAAAAAAAAAACCTGGGCTCAAGTAATCCTACTGCCTCAGTCTCTCAAGTAGCTAGGACTACAGGTGTGCCCCCATCACACCTGGCTTTGTTTTTTGTTTGTTTGTTTTGGTTTTTTGTTTGTTTTTATAAAGACAGACCTCACTATATTGCCCAGGCTAGTTTCGAACTCATGGCCTCAAGTAATGCTCCTACCTCAGCCTCCTCAAATGCTGGGATTACAAGTGTGATCCCATCATCCCCAAGCACCACTTAGTTTCTTTTTAACTCTTTATTTTGAAATAATTATAGATTCTCAGGAAGTTGCAAAATAGTCATTGCAGTCTTTCCCCAGCATCCCCCTAGTGGTGACAGCTGATATACAATATCAAAACATGAAATTGACTTTGGTATAATTCTGTTAACTAGACCATAGACTTTGTTTAATTTCACCAGTTTTTACATGTGCTCACTTATTTTTGTGTGTGTGTGTGCATGTGTGTGTGTGTGTTTAGTTCTGTGCAATTTTATCCCATGTATATATTTATATGGCCACCACAATCAGGACTCAGAACTGTTCCATCACCACAAAGAAATCCCCCATATTCTCCTTTTATCTTCACACCCACTCCCCATGCCTGTCACTGTAGTTTTGTCATTTTGAAAATGTTATAGAAATGGAATTATACAGTATGTAAGTAACCTTTTGCAATTGGCTTTTTTCACTCAGCATAATGCCCTTGAGATTCATCCAGATTGTTGCATGTATCAACAGTTCATTTCTTTTTATTGCTGAGTAATATTCTACTGTATAGATTTACTAGAGTTTGGCTGTTTCCAGTTTGAGACTATCGCAAAGCTGCTAGAAACTTTTGTTTACAGATGTTTGTGTGAACCTAAGTTTTCATCTTTCTGGGATAAATGCTCAAGAGTGCAATTGCTGGGTCATTATGGTAAGTACATGTTTTGATTTACAAGAAACTGCCAAATATCTTTCCACAGTAGCTGTGCCACTAGACATTCTTAACAATGTATGAGAAATCTAGTTTCTCTGCATTCTCTCCAGCATTTGGTAGGATCACTATTTTGCCTCATCTGACAGGTGAATAGTGATATCTTGTTGTGGTTTTAATTTGCCTTCTCCTAACAGCTAATAATGTTGAACATCTTTTTATGAGCTTATTTGTCATCTGTTTCTCTTCTTGGGTGAAATAGCTGTTCTAGTCTTTTGTGCATTTTCCAGTTGGACTGTTTGGTTTTTCCCTGTCGAGTTTGAAAGTTCTTTGTACAGTCTAGATATAAGATCTTTGTCAAATTTGTGGTTTGTAAATGTTTTCTATGTAACTTGTCTTTTCTTACTCTTAACAGATTATTTTGCTGCACAAACATTTTAAATTTTTTACAGACCCATTTACTAACTTTGCCTTTTATGGATGGTGTGTTTGATGTCATATCTAAGAACTGTTCACCTAGCCCTAGGTCTAGAAGATTTTTCCCTATGTTTTCTTTTAGGAGTTTGTATAGTTTTACATTTTATGTTTAAATTCATGATCCATTTTGGATTAATATTAATATGAGGTATCATGGTTAGGTCATGGTTTATTTTTTTGTCTATAGATGCCCAATTGCTCTAGCACCATTAGTTGAGAATACTACACTTTCTCCATTGCTTCACTTCTTTGTCAAACAAAATCAGTTGGGCAGTAGATACTGGCAAGAATTGAAAACAGGTACTCAAATAAGTGCATGTACACATATGTTCATAGCAGCACTATTCACAATACCCAAAAAGTAGAAACAGCATGTATGTCCATCAACAGGTGAATGCAAAAACAAATTGTGGCATACACATACAATGCAATATTTTCAACCATAAAAAGGAATGAAGTACTAATACATGCTACAAGGTAAATGAACCTCAAAATCATTATGTTAAGAGAAAGAAGCCAGACACAAAAGGTGACATATTATGTAATTCTATTTGTCTGAAATATCCAGAATAGGTAAATTCATAGAGATGGAATGATGATTGGTGGTTACGAGGGCCGGGAGAGAAGAAGGAATAGGGAGCAACTGCTTAACAAATATAGGATTTCCTTTGGGGCAGTAAATGTGTTTGGAAATAGAGATGGCAGTTGTACAACACTGTGAATGTACTAAATGCCACTGAATTATTCCATTCAGTGGAATAAAGAAAGGGGGTTTAATTGACTCACAGTTCTGCAAGGCTGGGGAGGCCACAGGAAACTTACAATCACAGCAGAAGGCACCTCTTCACAGGGCAGCAGGAGAGAAAAATGAGTGCCACTTATGAAGACATCAGATCTTGTGAGAATTCACTCACTACCACGAGAACATCATGGGGGAAACTGCCCCATGATTCAATTACCTCCACCAGGTCCTGCCCTTGACATGTGGAGATTATTACAATTCAAGGTGATATTTGGGTGGAGACACAGAGGCAAACCAATATCCAGAATAGGTAAATTCATAAAGATAGAATGATGATTGATGATTACCAGGGCCAGGTAAGAAGGAGGAATAGGGAGCAACTGCTTAACAGATACAGGATTTCCTTTAGGGAAATAAAAGTGTTTGGAAATAGAGATGGCAGTTGTACAACATTGTGAATGCTCTAAATGCCACTGAATTATTCACTTTAAAATAGTTAATTTTATGTTATGTGAGTTGCACTCAATCAAAAAAAAAGTTGAATGTAAAAAAAATAGTTGCATGTACAAATATATGCAACCATTCAACTACACACCCTTTATCTTGGTAGGTATATAGTTAACACTGTGCTTTTCACACATAGGGCCAACATCCAACCAAAGGTGAGCTGAATAAATGGATACCTACTCTTCACCAGGTCTTTTCTCTCACTGTGCTGGAGTTTTCCCCCATAGGCACATATCTCCCTGCCCTAACATACATTCTCAGGCCCCCTAATATTTCTCTCTCTATTATACTCAAGTAGAGGTCGACCTTGCTGACACATATTTGGCATAAGGTCTCAAGAAACTAGACATTTGATGAAAGTCAATTTATATTACCACTTTTGTTTTCTGCTTACCCACCTTACTGCTTAAAAAAATCTTCTGGCGGGGCGCAGTGGCTCACGCCTGTAGTCCCAGCACTTTGGGAGGCCAAGATGGGCAGATCACAAAATCAAGAGATGGAGATCATCCTAGCCAACATGGTGAAACCCCTTCTCTACTAAAAATACAAAAATTAGCTGGGCATGGTGGCAGGCGTCTGTAGTCCCAGCTACTCTGGAGGCTGAGACAGGAGAATGGCATGAACCTGGGAGGCGGAGGTTGCAGTGAGCCGAGACTATGCTACTGCACCGCAGCCTGGCAACGGAGGGCAATCAAGAAAAAAAAAATATTTTAAGTATTAAATGTAATATTTGCATGTATTATTTTAAATCATATGCATAATTTAAGAAAGGAGTTTTATCTTTCTGTTACTCTAGAATTATCTAGCGTATGAATTACTAGCTTTTCAAGATATTTCAATTTCACAGCTTCACTTCATTTTTTACATTAGAGAGAAAGCCTCTGTCAAGCTTTTCAAAGACACCCACAAACTGTCACCAAGAGCTTGTACAGGGGTTAGGCTGTCTCCACCTGATCATAGGACATTTCAGTCCCCATTTATGGAAGGCTGGGCCTAGGAGTGGGTTTCTTCGCCAGCCAGGCTAAAGGTTAATTGGGAAGTAAAGTCCCATCTCATGCCTGTGCCTAACCAACTGAAGAGCTCATTCGTTGTGTCAAACCTACAATTTACTGACTTTGTGGATCTGATATGAAGATTGATTTTTGCTACCTTGTCCTTCCTTTCAAATGCTAACAGTGGGATAATAAAGAAAATCTGCTCATGTCGAATCCCTGCTTAGATTTCTCCATTGAGCTCAGAATAAAGTCCAATGGGCCTGCATGTCATATGAACCCCTTGGCTTTCCGGCTTCCTCTGGACACTTCTCCTCCAACCCTGAGTCCCAGCCTGCCACCATATCAAAATGTTTCCACTTCTAAGATTTTGCCTGTCCTTGCTTGGCCCGGCCCCTTTGCAAGTGCTGTCATTCTTCAAGCTTAGCTCAGGATAATCCTGCCTTTAAAGTTCTCCTGACCCTTCACAGCTGGGTTAGGAGTCCCTATAGCAGTGTTCCCCCTTCCATGGCAGATCTTACCTGTGCTGCAATTTTCTGTTGACTCATTTTTCTCTCTCGTGAAATTAAAGACAAAGCTTATGCCAGGCATATAGTAGGTGCTCAACAAATGTTTTTAAATTAATATATTAATTAATTATTTATTTAATAAAAGATATTTATTGGACTCCTATTTTATGTCATTGTTCTCAATGTGAAGGTGTGGCATTTTACAAGGCAAAGCCCCTGCCCTCTTGGAGCTTATATTAGAATGAAATAAGGAGGAAGACAAATAAGAATACATATGTATATATATATGATGTATAAATACATCATTTTTATATATATATAAAATCAAGTTTTGGGTGGTGATAAGGGGTATGAAGAAAAGCAAAGCATGGTGAATGAATAAATGGATGGATGAAGAACTCAGAGCTAGAAATCAGGCAGTTCAGACTACACTGCCCTAGAAGCCTTATCCCAGCTCAGCATCTCTACATTTTCAGTTCTCTCTGCCTGGACTGTTCATCACGCAGACATCTATGTCTTGTCTCACTCCCTCAACCTCCTTAGCTCCCTGCTCAATTGCTGCTTCATTTCTGAATTCATACCTGACTAACTGCAATACCAATACCAATGTTCTGCTACAAATTCAAACTTGAAAGTACATGAATTTATTTTTTTAACTTGCTTATATCCTACAGATATTTACTGAATGCCTGCTAAGTGCCCACACTGCTCTAGGGCTGAGATACAGTAGGGCACAGAATAAATATTCCTGTCCTTATGGATCTTACATGCTATTGTTAGCAAGTAAATATATAATATGTCATATGGTGATAGGTGCTTTGAGAAAAAATAAAGCAAGAAAAAAAGTGAAGAAATTCTTAGGTAAGTGTGGAGAGATGGGGATTATTAGTATCGTAACTAGTTAAGAAAGAACTCACAAATAAAGCAACATTTGAGCAGAGAACTAAGGACGTAAGGGAGTGAGACAAGTATGTGTACATCTGCATGCTGAACAGTCCAGGCAGAGAGAACTACCACTGTAAAGACCCTGATGCAGGGCAAGGCTTCTGAACCTGAAACTCGCTCTTAATATGCAGTAGAAGCACAGGTTACAGGGGAGTGCATACTACACTGAGAACCAAACAAACCCAGGTGCAAGATTTGGGGACCCCACTTATTGGTTGTATGGCTTTAACCAAGTTTTTAACCACCTTGAATTTCCAATTATTTATTTGTACAATTAATGCCTAGCTGAAAGCATGGTCATGATACTCCAGTGGGATGATGTACTCTATAAACTGTGTCTATAAACTGTAAGATTGTAAATGTCACATAACTACCTTTTCATATTCCTTATCTTATAAGATTGACAGTAATATTAACTAGATCATTTAAAACCAATGATGAAGAGCAATTGTTATCTCTAAATGCACTGTGGAATTAATGGAATTATAGAATTTTTAGCTTCTTGTGGCATGTTTGCATTATGTACCTACTTATATACATAATGTGACTTATTGAACATTTGTTCAATCTCAGCATTTCCTTTTTTTTTTTTTTTTTTTTTTTGAGACAGAGTTTCACTCTTGTTGCCCAGGCTGGAGTGCAACGGCGTGATCTCGGCTCACAGCAACCTCCGCCTCCTGTGTTCAAGCGATTCTCTTGCCTCAGCCTCCCAAGTAGCTGGGATTACTGGCACACGCCACCATGCCCAGCTAATTTTTTGTATTTTTAGTAGAGACAGGGTTTCACCATGTTGGCCAGGCTAGTGTTGAACTCCTGACCTCAGGTTATTCACTCTCCTAGGCCTCCCAAAGTGCTGGGATTACAGGCGTGAGCTACCACACCTGGCCCAATCTCAGCATTTCTTGAAAGAGCTATCATTTTTTATCACTAACAGTATTAAGATTTCCTACATCTTTCAGGTTAAATATTTTATAAGATTGATATTTAGTTTCATTGTTTGTGTACATATGTCCTTTGTCAAATTGGCTTTGATTCCTGATTCTAGACATTGACCAGATTATTCTTATTACAATTTTATGATTTAAAATTGAATCCAGCTATTCCCTAAGTGCTATGTGAAAAAGAGTCCCTATCATTTTTTATTTAGATAAGCATAATACACTGGAGGTTTAAGTTCAAGAAGACTGAGTATCTAAGCCTCCTAGATGTCTGTTTTTTGTTGATGACTGGAACAATGGAAAGGGTCTGATCTGGTAGGGCAGTTAACCAAAAGGCAATTTAAGTTTTCATTATGATCCCTCATTGGAGTTCTATTATACACATTATACATGCGTATATATTACAGTGTAGTTATACACAAAGCCACGTTTATGTATGTTATGAGTGATATTGAAACCGGCCCAACTGTCCCCACAGAACTTATGTTTATGGTTTCTTTTGAATAAACATAAAAATTGACTCTCTGGTCTTAAAACTTCAGAAAGTTACATTTGTCTTATCTGAGTTCCTTTCACAAGAAACCAACCATAAGTCCTCCCAGATGGTATCAAGGAACTGACACTTACCAGATCAACACAGCCAAACAATGAGAAGCCAGTCCCTTCACTCATCATGACTGCCTAACTGACCACCTGCTGCCTCTTGACCAACTCCTCTTCTTTATGCCTCCTGAGTTCATGTTTTCCTGCATGTAGTTACATTTCTTCCATGTTATATAAACCCCTGATTTTAGTTGGTCAAGGTGATGGATTTGAGATTGATCTCCCATCACCTCGGCTGCAGCACCTGATTAAGCCTTCTTCCCTGGCAATACTCATGGTCTCAATGACTAGCTTTCTGTGCAGTGAGCAGTAGGACCTAGAACAAACCCCTGGCATTTCAGTAACAATACGAGGGATTTTTTTATTTTTTGAGACGGAGTTTCCCTCTTGTTGCCCAGGCTGGAGTGCAGTGGTGTGATCTCAGCTCACCACAACCTCCACCAACAGGGTTCAAGTGATTCTCCTGCCTCTGCCTCCTGAATGGCTGGGATTACAGACATGTACCACCATACCTGGTTAATTTTGTATTTTTAGTAGAGATGGGGTTTCTCCATGTTGGTCAGGCTGGTCTCAAACTCCTGACCTCAGGTGGCCTCCCAAAGTGCCAGGATTACAGGTGTGAGCCACCGCACCCAGCCAATACAAAGAATTTTTAAGTGTAATTCTGTTCTATACAAGTCCTTCAGAAACCAATATAGGAATGCATACAAAGCTAATTCACAGATAAGGCAGCATGTGATGAGTACCAAATGACTGATGAAGACAGAGTACAATGTAGGGTTGAGAGATTTCAGGGGTGAGGTAATTTACTAAGTCAGACAATCAGGAAAGTTTACATATGAATTAGGACTTGAATTAAGGATCTATGATGCAGAGATAAGAGGAAGAAGACATTTCCAGAAATAAAAAAAAAAGGCAAAGTCCTAGAGAGGGTGCCCACAGAGGATGTTTAGGAGACACTAAATGAAACAATGTAGCTGGAACCAAGGGCTGATCTAAAGTAGAGGCTTCATAGAGGACTACATTTAGAATGAAGGGTGGGAAGAACAGTTGGTTATGAGAGAATGTGGAAGGGCTGGAATGAATTGCTCCCTGATACTGACATATACTGTTGGTGGGAGTAGTAAATAATTAAAACTTTCTAAGAGGCAGTTCAGCAATATTTCTCAAACTGCATATACTCTTTGAATTAGTTATTACACTTCTAGAAATTTATTCTAAGGATATAAAGACAGAACATCTCAAAGATGTGTGTAGAAGGATGTTTACTATAGCATTACTTACAACAGGAAAATAAAACTAACTGTCCCATATACCAAATTGGTAATAAATAATAGTAACTCCACATATGGAATCCAATGCAACTGTGAAAGCAAGTTTTTTTTATTAGTAAGAAGATGTAAAGATAATATAAACACGAAGTAAAGAAAACAAGTGACAAAAAATCTTTACACGATATGATTCCAGTTTTAAGTGGTTATATAAAATGGGCAGTGAATACAACAAAATGTTAAGAGTGGTTAATGGCTGAATTCCTTTTTTAATCTCAAGGCAATTAATACTTACCTGAGTGTTCCTTCAGTGCCAATATGATAAACTGGGAAAATGTGTTGGAGGACACTTGTCAATGACTGCCTCTCCCATGGAAAGGACAGGTCTTGTCTCATGGAGGATGGTTCTCTTTTAACAGAGCCTTCCTGAAGCCAATGCCTGAAGTACAAAGCATAGTGAAAGGCCAGTAGCACAGACATTTTGAAGGTTTCACAGATCATACCAAGAAAGAACTGAGGCTTTAGTTAGTGTTTACTATGGTTCTGGGCCTTGTGCTTTTGTTTTGCATAGATGTTCTAATGTAATCCCCCAACTGTCCTATGAGTTAGCTACCAGTGTTATTCTCATTTTACAGATGGAGTATCTGAGGCATAGAGAGGTTAAGTTTCTTTTGAATAAACATAGAAATTGACCTTTCTGGTCTTAAAACTTCAGAAAGTTACATTTGTTTTATCTGAGTTCCTTTTGCAAGAAAGGGTACAGAGCTAAGTGATAAAGCCAGCATCCAAATGCAGACAATGACTCCAGATGACTCCAGAATCCACACTGGCTACTACACTCTGCAAACCCATTTTAATGCAAAAGAGAAAAACAATCCATCCTGTAGACCTCCTCATTTCAGGGCCATCTGTTACTATGTCCTCGGTGGGGAGTTAGGCAGCATACAATCAAATAGAAATGCTCTGGATGGGGCCTGTGGGAGCCATCTGGTGTTGGGACTGGCACTTCCTCACTTTGTAACTTTAGGCAAGTCATAACCCATTCAAGCCTTGACTTTCTCGTGAGTAAAACAGGGAAATAATATCTGAATGGCTGGCCTCCCAGGATGGCTGTGAAGATCAAAGAAGACAAAAACACATAAAGTCCTGTGAAAACTATCAAGTGGCACGCAAGTGGTATAAGGTATAATTAGTCACAATACTAGCATGGAACTCTCAGAATATTAAGATTGGACATCAAATTCTTCCAAGAAGCTCCTCAAGAGTCATTCTCAAGGAGTGTATCATACAATCCCAGAGACAGTTGCTCCAGCTGTGGCCTGACATTAGTGATGTGCCATTAGGGCAAGGCATCGAGTTTGCATCCCTGTGCAACACACCATGTGGTGCCGACTACCACCGACTAATGGACACCAACTGAGGTGGGCTGGATAACAGCACTCATACAACCCAAATTCCCCCCTGGAAAGCCATCTGTAGAACTTACTCTGATATTCTGGAAATAAGGCGTTTCCTAGGTTCACAACGGAGAACTTAGGTGAGTAATGATGGTGCCCACTACATACCATTACATGTTAGGCCCCTCATAAATATCTTCTGTAAGCCTCACAGTGTCCCTGCTATTACCCTACTTTACAGTTTAAAAATGTGAGGCTCAGGGAGGTTTAGAGGCTTTCCCACCAGTTAAGGTACAAAGAGCAAATTAAGGGATGATGACACAGTTTTTTGTTCCTCCATTTTTATTCTGATAAACTTATCCAAACTTTCTGGATTCAGTCCCTCCAAAATAAAGATAATTAATAAATCATACTAATTTCTGGGTTTCTGGTGACATGTTAGATGAGTAAAACTGAAATTGACTTAAAAGATTCTATTAAAATGTAAAACATATATCATTGTTTTGAGATCAATGCACGGCAGCCGGACTCATAAGATCATGTGAATTTAATAGGAAATTGTTTTGTCTAATTTTTTCTCAATTAAGAGGAAGAGGTTTTTTATTTTTAATTAAGAAAACTGAAAGGAATACTTACAACTGTGACACATTCTTAATGTCAATAATACATATAAACAACTCCTGTAATTCTATAAGATTGTTAACACTTAAACAAATTGACTCCAAAAATGAAATTTATATTTCTTTCTTACACAAAGGAAGAAATATAAATTTTTATCAAGTCTGTGTAAGTGCACTAGGTAAGTTCAAAGTAAAACAATGAGATCCCACATTTCACCAAATGAATAAGTAGAGATTTTTAAAATTTTTAATATTTAATGTAGGTGAGTGTAATGATAGACAACCTTTCTGGAAAGTGATTTGCTAATATGCATAAAGACCCTTCAACAATATGCTCTTTGTGGTAAATTCATTATGGCCACAAATTCTTTGACCCATCCCCTGGAAAGAGGTGTGGCCTATTTTAACCACACTCTGGAATTTGGCCTGTGACCACTTTGAGCAATGGAGCATGGTGGAAGGCACTCTGCCAGTTCTGTGCCTAGCCTTTAAGAGAACTAACAGCTTCCACTTCCTCTCTCCTGGAACCCAGTAGAGAAGTCCATCTGGAGGGCACTCAATGCCTCCAGCCACCAACCAGCATCAGTTTGTCAGCTGTATCAGTGAGCTATCTTGGAAGTGGGTCTCCAGCCCCAGTGAAGTCACCTCAGCTAACATTATGTGGAACAGAGACAAATTGTCCCCAAAGAGCCCTTCCCAAATTGCAAAATTGGGAGCAAATAAATTATTAGTGTTGTTTTCAGTCACTAAGTTTTAAGGTGGTTTGTTACACCACAATTAATAAATAAGATTGTCCCAATAATTTTACTCCTAGGAATTCACGCTCAGGTATTAATTAGAAATGCAGACAAAAGCTCACATTCAAAAGCATTTCTTGTGAAGAAGCTTAGGCAAACTTTATTGTCTAAATTAGGAAAATAATTATGTAGATCACAGTACATCCATTATGAAAGCAATTTCAATGTTAGTAATTTGGGAAAATACTTAAGATATACTTTTAAGTGGAAAAAGTCATATAAAGAGCTATGCATATCAAAGGGAAAAAATTAAGTTACAAGTGGTTATTTCTTGGCAATAAGATTATGGGTGATTTTATTCTGATCTTCACATTTTTGTGATAAGTGCATAATCAGAAAAAAAAACTTTAAAAGTGAGAAAAACTATCAACTTGCAAACTATGTCCATAGGTCAAATAAACATTAAAAACATGAAGTTATATTTTAACTATACTTTCAAACTCCTTTTTATAAAAACCATTTTACCAAGGCATTCAGCAGTATCGATGTTGAATTGTTTGCTGTTTCTCATAATTGACATGCTGATATGCAGTTATATTGCAGTTTTAAAAGTCATCAGGAGATAAACCTATTAGCAAAGGGCTTCCATAATCCATAAACTCGATATAAAAATCCTGAATAATTAAGCAGTTCCAATGATGTGGCAAAAAAAGTGAAAAAATTGAAGAAAGGGCTTCAAAAAAATCACACTAACATCATTAAAAACCTATTCTGGCTAGGACCCTTCCCACACACCACGTGCCTCAATCCTCTCAACAGCCTTGTGAGGAAAATGTTCTCCCCATTTTACAGATGTAGAAGCTTCAGACTTGACCAAAGTTTATACAGCCTGCACCTGGGAGTCCACCGCCATACACTCCCTCCACTGTACCCTCTCTCTGCACAAAGGTCAGTGGTTCAACATGTTTATATGGTGAAAAAAAAATTACCAAACACGTGAGCTTTTTGAAAAAACCTTTCTTTTATTCTAACACAATTAAGTAAAATATATTTAATTGGACTTTTCAATCCTCTTTGGCTACATCATTTTCTACTAACAGAACCTGAAGAAGTGCTCACAGGTATTGGGAGGAGGGGGATGAGGTTACAAAGTACAGGTAGTTCCTGATGCAGCTCCCTCCTCACTGTCCTCTCTTCCTTGCATCTCTGTGTGGCCCCATCCTTAGCATTACTGAGGTTTTTAGGAAGTGGAAAGCTGGCTGTGGTTGTTGGATTTATTCACTATTCATATTGGTTTTGTTTTATTTGCAGTAAGCCATATCAAACCAAGATGTGAAGGGTCAGTACCACAGAGAGTCGCCACAGGACATTTGACTGGAGACAATGAAGAGCCAGATCTTAATCAAGTCCAGTGTGTCTTTTCAAAATTAAAGAATGTCAAATAATAAAAATAACAGGCAAGACATTCATAGTGTCTATATGTATCAGCTCTGTGCTATGCATTTTATCTGTGGACATTATCCTACTTAATCCTCCTCCTTCTTAATAGGTAGCTATTATTTTTTATCTTCATTTTACAGATGGAGCTGAGAACTCAGACCCCAGGTGGTCAGGGTATGAACTGTTTGTCTGATCTCAGTCCGTGCTCCTAACCACCATGCTATGTGGCCACATGGGCTGCAGTAGTCAGGGCTGAGGATTCAGAGAATCCTGCTTCTTTCCTCCTCCCCCAGCTCCAGAGGGAACCCTGAATACAAGCAAGAGGAGAAAGGCTGCGGCAGGGAGAGTGAAGAAATGGGAATCCTCATCTTGCAAGGTCAAGCTGGAGGGTGGCTTTTTCCAAAGCCATGGCTACTTTCTTCCCAGTTCCAGGCTACTAAGTACACTGCAGTTTCTTTTAAATTGTGTTTGTATTCATCCATCACTCCCCATTTCTAAAAGGATATAAGGTAGTTATAACTACTTTATAGATTGGGCCATTGCACTTCAGCCTGGGCAAAAGAGTGAGACTCTGTCTCAAAAAACAAGCAAAAAAAATTATGTAACCCTCCTCATTTTTCCCTTAAAAAACCCATGTCTGCCTTTATCTCCTGAATGCACACATAGTTTACCATGGCAGTTATATTCCCATTGCAATGCTCTCTTCCCAAATAAATACCATTTTCTCTTAGAAAGCCTCTCTGTTATTTAGGTTGACAGCTCTAATGTCATTTTCTCAGCAATGCCTTTCCATACAACAATATTCAAAACTGAAATGTTTTTCCTACTTGCTTTCCCAAACAAGCAGCCTACATGCCCTTCCCTGATTTTTCTCCACAGTACTTCTCATGCTCAAATCACCAGTTACTTTCTTTCCTTTGTTTTCTATTTATCTGTCTCCCCTAAACGAGGGCAGGTTTCCGTATTATACACTGCTCTATTCCCAACAGCTAGAACAGAGCATGACAGAATAGATACTCAATAAACGTGTTAAAATAATTAATTAATTGACCAACAAACTCATCACTTTACAATTGCAAGGTCCCCTCAAAACACTTGTAAAGGTAAGTCAGTCAGTCAAAAAATGAGCCAGCCAGTTGTCTGGACTTTTCAATCATGTGGTAATAATTCAGGAAATATTTTGAAAGTCTTACAAAATTATGTGGTGACAAATAAAATTCTATTGAGATTTCAGGTGACATGTACCCTTTTATACTCTTTTTTTTTTGAGATGGAGTTTTACTCTTGTTGCCCAGGCTGGAGTGCAATGGCACAATCTCCGGTACTGCAACCTCCGCCTCCCAGGTTCAAGCGATTCTCCTGCCTTAGCCTCCAAAGTAGCTGGGATTACAGGCATGCGCCACCTCACCAGGCTAATTTTGTATTTTTAGAAGAGACGGGGTTTCACTACGTTGGTTAGGCTGGTCTCGATCCACCCATCTCAGCCTCCTGAAGTGCTGGGATTACAGGCATGAGCCACTGCACACAGCCCCTTTTATACTCTTTAAGCAAGTTTAGAATTAGTGATTATCAGTCACTTATAGCAGGGGCACAGCTTGAAGAAACAGACAAAATGCAGAAGAAGAGGTCAAGCATTACTGGAATTAAATCACCACTGTTAATTCCTAATGCAGTTGGTCCAAATAAATCACAAGTTTTATTATCCAGCTCTCTCCTACTGGCAAAGCAAAGGCAGGGAAGACAGTTATTGATGAGCACATCTTCCTTCATGCCTCAAGAAACTCAAAATTCCATGCCTCCTAACACAAGTGCAAGAATGACATGTGCACAACTGGGGGAGGTGTGTGCTCTGAGGAGAGACACCAGGAGACACAGGGCTCCATCTAGTACCAAGAGATGCATGCCTGCAGTCTCAGTGGTGAGATGTCGTCTTTTTAAACATTTCAATCTCAGTGATGAGAGGTTGTCTTTTCAACCAGTGAAAGGTAATCTAGCAGAACAGAAAACATGCCACAGAAAGGGCATTGCAGGCAGGCAGCGTGAGTCAGACCCCAGGTGGAGCTGGGAAATTTGCCCAGACCCAAAGGCCTATCCACCTGTGCCATCCAAATGTGGCAAAATGCCAACCTTGCATCTGAGGCAACCATTTTTGTCCACCACTCCTTGCCACACAATAGGGTTTGGGGAGCTCTTGGCTTTCCCATACTCAACTATGAGAGCCGGGAATATTTTCATGATAATTGAGATTTCTTCGTACAGTATTCAGAAAGAGAAAGTTGAATTGACTGAGGTCAAGATGGCATTCTTCTGAGCATTCTACTGTTGTCCTTAGCTTTGTTCACATTAATTGTAGCCTGGGCACAGACTTCACTGCGGTTTCTAGCATGGGAGGTGACTATATGACATGTATTGCTGGCTGTGAATGAGCCAGGATCTCTGAACCCTGCCTGTGCCCTGAGGCACACAAGACCTTCCCAAGCCTTTAGCTCACATTGACCCAACCCTCTTCTACAAACACCTGTACTCTAGTACTCTAGTCTTTGATTAAATGTAATCTCATCTTACTCCATTCTTTTTTTAAAAGTGTGATTATTCTTTCACAGCTAGAATATAGGTTCCTTAAGGGGCAAGGACTACATTTTATGATTCTTTGTTTGTGCCCACAGAACTACACACCACTGTCTGACCTAGCCTTGTATTTTTTTTCTTTTAGACAGAGTCTTGCTCTGTCACCCAGGCTGAAGTGCAGTGGCACAGTATTAGCCCACTGCTGCCTTGACCTCCAGTGCTCAAGGAATCCTCCTGCCTCGGCCTTCTGAGTAGCTGGAACTACAGGCGCATGCCATCATGCCCAGCTAATTTTGTAAATTATTTGTGGAGGCCAGGTCTTGCTATGCTTCCCAGGCTGAGCTTGAACTCCTGAGCACAAGCGATTCTCCCACCTCGGCCTTCCAAAGTGCTGGGATTACAGGCACAAGCCACCGTGCCTGACCATAGCCCTGTCTCTTTAAGTAATCCCAGAAATTCAAGAACAGAGAGCTCTGGACATCCCAGTTCTTTTTACCACAAAACTCTTGGATCCACTAACTACCTAACTCTTAATCTCCAGCTTCTCCTACAACAACAAGCTTCATCCTTGTCCAATATCACCTCTAAACTTAGAAATTTGCCCCTCACTATTCATCCCATTGGATCTGAAATGGACTTGGCTTTTTTGGTTTGGCCTCCTGTTGCCCCCTGGCTCTATCCATTCTGGGTACCTACTCCAGGAGATCAAGCCTACACTCACAAGACCCAACCTGTGATTAGCAAGATGCACAAGGCCACCACTGAGATCATCTGTGGTTCCTGTTGGAGAGAACTGAAGAAACTGGGCATGCTACAATCATCATGAGTGCAGTCAGAAGGAGGACATAATTCTGCCAAGCCACCTGCTGCTTCTCCTACCACCAGCAGCAGCAGCCCCTTCCCCTGGATGTTCATTCACCTCTCAGGTAAGCAAGAAGGAATAGTCCGACTTGGCTCACCACCACCTGAAGCAACATTTGATTTATCAGGGAAAGCAAAAATGAATTGAGGAATCAAGACATGAAAGTAGAAAAGACTGAAAGCTCCCTGAAGGCAAGCATTATGTGTGTCTTATTCATAATTGCATCTTCAGGTCATGCCAGTGTCTAACCTGTTAGTAGGTTCTCAATAAATTTGTGGAAATAATTAGAAATAGAATGTCTGTCTTTTATCTCCATCATACTGTTTTTTGAGGGAATTAAGTCAATAAACGTGTTATTGACATAGGCAGACACATTTTAGATACTTGTGTGTTAAGTTTCACTATTGATGTAGATAAAATGCTAGTTTCACTATTGATGTAGATAAAATTCTATGGCACTTGCACTCCAGCCTGGGCAACAAGAGTGAAACTCCATATCAAAATAAAAAAAAATGCTATGGCACACAGACAGCACTTTATGGAGTCAATTATTCTGTTCAAATTGGGAGCCTACAGGGGAAAAAGTAGCATTTGAGCTGGGTCTTGAAATAGGAAACAGCCATTTCAAAGGAAAGTATAATGATGAGAATAAAATTGGCCTCACAATTAAGACTCTTTGAGGGACAGCCTCCTCCTCAGAAAAGAGCTGCTGGTGCCCCTCTGGCAGACAGAGCTGATTGCTGACAACAGTCCTCTATCACAGATGCTCCACAACACACCGGAGATGCCCGAGAGGAACCCCGGGACATAAGTGGGGAGCACATGGCTTATGATAATTTTAGCTCTCACCCAAGGTCTGCTAATGGCTCATGTAGCTCAGCCTGGAAGATGCCTCAGAACACTGGTCAGTTCTAGGGCTCCCTCAAGGAGTTCTGGGCTATTCTTGGTGGGCCCTGGGGATTTAAGTCTGACTATGTGAGTCAGAATGCAGATGGAAAAGTCTGGTGCCTTAGAGAGGGCCTGGAACCAGCTGGGTGTGGTTTTTCGCACATGTAATCCCAGCACTTTGTGCGAATCACTTGAGGCCAGGAGTTCCAGACCAGCCTGGGCAACAGGGCAAAACCCCATCTCTACTAAAAATACCCAAAGTAGCCAAGTGTGGTGGCACGTGCCTGTAGTTCCAGCTACTCAGGAGGCTGAGGCATGAGAATCGCTTGAACCTGAGAGGTGGAGGTTGTGGTGAGCTGAGATACCACCACTGCACTCCAGCCTGGGCAACAGAGCGAGGCTCCGTTCTCAAAAAAAAAAAAAAAAAAAAAAAAAACCTGGAACCACCTGAGCCTCTGGTGTGGCTGGCTCTCACGATCACTCCAGGCAAGGATCTCCGTGGTAACTTTGCCAGCTCCCAAGGCCACCAGAGAAGAGAGCCTCCCTGGAGATCCAGGCTATTCTACACAAATGGTTGTAGACATTAACTAGGGAACACCCGCTTACCTGCAGCCATCTGTATAATCTCTAGGATATAGGCTGGGGCCCAGATACTTATGCCTATATGGGAAGAAAAAGTCCATGACCAGTAAGGAAGCTATGAGAATACATTAGAGCCATAAGTCATGTCTCTCCACTATTTCGAAGAGATAATAGCAACACTACTAGGCAAGAGTCTAGTTATGCAAAATTAAAGAGGAAGTGAGGTTCCAGGCAGCACTAAATTCAGTTGACCTGAAGACCCTGGAGAAGTACCCCAGGTTGTGAATCAGGTTGCCTAGACCCCAGTGGCAGCACTGTTACTATTTGTCTGTGGACAAATAATGATGTTTTGATTAAATAAATATTATCAATAGAATACTATCATAACAGAGGAAATAATCAATTTTCAATAAAAAATGAACCTCATTTAAACTGCATCATAAACCAGAATTAATTAGTAACTACAACATCTTAAATAGTACAGAAGTTTCCATTTTCAAGATACTTTACCATTTGTCATTGTGTATGATATTCATAATCCCTATTGAGGTAGACAGAAAAACAGGTTAAGACAGAGAGGCTAACTACATTCCCAGGTTTCACAGCAAAGCAGGAGGCAAGACCAAGAAAGCCTGATTCCCGATCCTGAGGTTTTCTGATCCTGGTCAAGTATGGTCACTGGGAAAATCTCTACAGTCACTGCTTTTATTTAGCCATCTCCAGATTTCATCTGTCAGGTGCTTCCATTTGACTTTCTTCGGTAACAAAATCCTATAGCTGACTGTTTGGCATTTAAAGCACTTAACTTTTTTTTTTTTTTTTTTTTTTTTTTTAGACAAAGTCTTGCTCTGTCACCCAGGCTGGAGAGCAGTGGAGCGATCTAGGCTCACTGCAGCATCTACCTCCCAAGTTCAAGCAATTCTCCTGCCTCAGCCTCCCAAGCAGCTGGGATTACAGGTGCATGCAACAGCACCTGGCTAATTTTTTTATTTTTTTGGTTGAGACTGGGTTTCACCATGTTGCCCGGGCTGATCTCGAACTCCCAGGCTCAAACGATCTGCCCATCTCAGCCTCCCAAAGTGCCAGGATTACACACATGAGCCACCACACCCGGCCTATTTCTTTTCTTTATGATGCATGTGACCTGTTGCATGTGGTAAGAGGAATGTAAAGCAAACTATCTTTACATTAATTTTAAGAAAAACACTTAGTTTCAGGAGTATATGTGCAGGTTTGTAATATATGTAAATTGCATGTTGCAGGAGTTTGGTGTATAGATTATTTCATCACCTAGTAATAAACATGGTATCCAAGGTAGTTTTTTGATCTTCACCTGCTTCCCACCCTCCACCCTCAAGTAGGTCCCAGTGCCTATTGTTCCCTTCTTTGTGTCCATATGTACCAATGTTTAGCTCCCACTTATAAGTGAGAACACACAGCATTTGGTTTTTGGTTCCTAGGTTAGTTTTCTTAGAATAACTTAAAATAACTCCAGCTCCAACCATGTTGCTGTAAAGGACATGATCTTATTAATTTTTATGGCTGCATAGTACTCCATATGTATATGTACCACATTTTCTTTATCCAGTCTACTGTTGATGGGCATCTAGGTTGATTCCATGTCTTTGCCATTGTGAATAGTGCTGCAATGAACATATGCATGCATGTGTCTTTATGGTAGAATGATTTATATTCCTTTGGGTATATACCCAATAATGGGATTGTTGGGTTGAATGGTAGTTCTGTTTTAAGTTCTTTGAGAAATCACCAAACTGCTTTCCATGGGGGCTGAACTAATTTACATTCCCACCAGTAGTGCATAAGCGTTCCCTTTTTCCTACAACCTCACCAGCATCTGTTATTTTTTGACCTTTTAGTAATAGTCATTCTGACTGGTGGAAAATGGTATCTATCTCATTGTGGTTTTGATTTGCATTTCTCTAGTGATTAGTGATGTTGGACATTTTTTCATATGCTTGTTGGCCATTTGTTATGCCTTCTTTTGAAAAGCGTTCATGCCCTTTGCCCACTGTTTAAGGGAGTTGCTTGGTTTTTGCTTGTTAATTTGTTTAAGCTCCTTTTAGATCCTGAATATTAGACCTTTGTCAGATTCATAGTTTGCAAATATTTTCCCCCATTCTGTGGATTATCTGTTTACTCTGTTGATTGTTTCTTTTGCTGTGCAGAAGGTCTTTAGTATAACTAGGTCCCATTTGCCAATTTTTGTTTTTGTTGCAATTGCTTTTGGCACCTTCATCATGAAATCTTTGCCAGGGCCTATGTCTGGAATGGTATTTCCTAGGTTTTCTACGAGAGTTTTTATAGTTTTAGGTTTTACATATAAGTCTTTAATCCATCTTGAGTTAATTTTTCTATATGGTGAAAGGTAGGGGTCCAGTTTCAATCTTCTGCATATGGCGAGCAAGCTATCCCAGCATGATTTATTAAACAGGGAGTCCTTTCCCTATTGCTTGTTTTCATTGACTTTGTCAAAGATCAGATGGTTGCAGGTGTGCAGCTTTATTTCTGGGCACTCTATTTGGTTCCATTGGTCTATGTGTCTGTTTTTGTACAGTACCATGCTGTTTTGGTCACTGTAGACTCGTAACATAGTTTGAAGTAGGATAATGTGATGCTTCCAGCTTTGTTCTTTTTGTTTAGAATTGCTTTGGCTATTCAGGCTCTTTTTTGTTTCTATATGAATTTTAAATAAGAAAAAACTTTTTCTAATTCTGTAAAGAATGTCATTGGTAGTTTGATAGGAATCACATTGAATCTGTAAATCACTTCGGGCAATATGTCCATTTTAACAATATTGATTTTTCCTATTCATGAGCATGAAACATTTTTCCATTTGTTTGTGTCATCTCTGATTTCTTTCAGCAGTGTTTTGTAATTCTCATTGTACAGATCTTTCACTCCCTGGTTAGCTGTATTCCTGGGTATTTCATTCTTCTTGTGGCTATTGTGAATGAGATTGCATTCTTGATTTGGTTCTTAGCTTAGATGTTGTTGGTATCTAGAAGTGCTACTGATTTTTGGCAGGGCACAGTGGCTCACGCCTGTAATCCAAGCACCTTGGGAGGCTGACACAGGCAGATCGCCTGAGCTCAGGAGTTCGAGACCAGCCTAGGCAACATAGCAAAACCCCCATCTCTACCAAAAGATACAGAAATTAGCTGGACGTGGTGATGCATGCCTGTAGTCCCAGCTACTTGGGAGGCTGAGTTGGGAGTATCACATGAGCCTGGGAGGCAAAGGTTGCCGTGAGCTGAGATCGCACCACTACACTCCAGCCTGGTGACAGAGTGAGACCCTGACTCAAAAAAACAAAAAAAGAAGTACAGAAGTGCTACTGAATTTTGTACATTGTATATCAGGCTTTTAAATGTTCCAAATCCCAATTTGGTTAACTGCAGAAACAATTCATCACAACTGAGGAACAATTCATCACAACTGAGACTTATACAAAATTCCATATATTCCCTTATTTAAGGAATCAGCAAAAGTACCAGAGTTTTTAATCTGTTAGTGGTTATACGGGGAGTGCCCAGTGCCCAACCCTATGCATGCATGCCCTCCATTGACACACACCCACTTGGCCTCAGCGTTCCCCATATGGTCTTACTGCCCCTCACTTCACCCACATGCTCATCATTACCTCAAGTCACGACATGTTCCACCCTTCTCCACCACTGTTTGGCTTGTAGCTTTGCCTTGACTAAGTTCCAGCTCTGGTCTCTGTTATTAGTTAGCACAAGTTTGAAAAGAAGCATTGGCCCACATCTTGGATGAGTAATAAGTTTACACTAAAGTCAGAGGGACAAATGGAAAACCCAGCAAATAACTTAATTAAACTTAGCAGCAGGCATCAAATAAAACTGTACTGTTGTCGAATAAATTTAGCTGGCTTAGGAAAATTCTCCAGGTTTCTTTACTTAGAATAACAATTTCTAGCCCTAACAAACCCAACATACCTTTTTTGCAAACATTTCATACTGTGGGAAATGTTGGTTTTGATCATTTTTAAAAGTGCATTCAATAGTGAAGGCTAACAGAGTATCCATCACAAGTGAACAGCTAGAAGGTTCTGGAGCATGTGTTCCACGGATGAAAAGCCTGATACTTGCTTGGGTCTCTCAATGCACCAGCAGTACAGAAATGTAACACCACCTCCTTTACCATCCTGAAACAAAATTCACAGATATGTCCTATATAAACGTAATTTCCAGAAAGGCTGACAACAACAACATAATGTGTATTTTAATATGCAAATGTTGGTCACGTATAAACCAAAAAACAAGTAGTCATATGCTTGCATCTATATGCAGAATAACTGTGAATGTGACAGCTTACAAACACAGGCTACACAGTTGTGCTGTATCAGCTACTCAAATACAACTAGTGGTGTCTGTTCACGATATGCCTTTCTGAAAGAAGAAACAATTTTTGGCAAAGCTCCAAACAAAACGAAATACACCCAGCTACTGGGGAGGCTGAGGCAGGAGGATCACTTGAGGTCAGGAGTATGAGGCCACAGTGCACTATGATTACACCTGTGAATAACTATTGCAATTCAGCCTAGACACCATAACACAACCATGTCTTTTATTATTATTATTATTATTATTATTATTATTATTATTTCAATAGTTTGGGGGGAACAGTTGGTGTTTGGTTACATGGATAAGCTCTTTAGTGGTGGTTTCTGAGATTTTGGTGCACCCATCACCCAACTAATGTACACTGTACCCAGTGTGTAGTCTTTCATCTTGCCCCCGCCTTCCCCTGAGTCCCCAAAGTCCACTGTATCATTCTTATGCCTTTGTGTCCTCATAGCTTAGCTCCCACTTATAAGTGAGAACATAACGATGTTTGTTATTCCTGAGTTACTTCACTTAGAATAATGGTCTCCAATTCTATCTAGAATGCAAATGACTATTTTTTTTTTTTTTAGCTGAGTGGTATTGCATGGTATACATACATACCATATTTTCTTTATTCACTTGATTGATGGGCATTTGAGCGGGTTCCATATTTTTGCAGTTGTGAATTATGCTACTATAAACATGTATGTTCAAGTGTCTTTTTCATATAATCGCTTCTTTTCCTCTGGGTAGATACCCAGTGGTGGGATGGCTGATCTACTTTTAGTTCTTTTTTTTTTTTTTTTTTTTTTTTTTTTTTTGGTAGAGTCTCGCTGTGTCACCCAGACTGGAGTACAGTGCTGTGATCTTGGCTCACTGCAACCTCCACCTCCCGGGTTCAAGTGATTCTCCTGCCTCAGCCTCCTGAGTAGCTAGGATTACAGGTGCACACCACCATGCCCAGCTAATTTTTGTATTTTTAGTACAGATGGAGTTTCACCATGTTGGCCAGGCTGGTCTCAAACTCATAACCTCAAGTGATCTGGCTGTCTTGGCCTTCCAAAGTGCCGAGATTACAGGTGTGAGCCACCATGCCCAGCCAGTCTCCATACTGTTTTCCATAGTGGTTGTACTAGTTTATGTTGCCACCAGCAGTATAAAAGTGTTCCCCTTTCACCACATCCATGCCAACATCTATTATTTTTTAATTTTTTAATTATGGCCATTCTTTCAGGAGTAAGGTGGTATCTCATTGTGGTTTTGATTTGCATTTCCCTGATAATTAGTGATGTTGAGCATTTTGTACATGTTTGTTGGCCATTGTATATCTTCTTTTGAGAATTGTCTATTCATGTCCTTAGCCTACTTTTTGATGGGATTGTTTGCTTTTTTTCTTGCTGATTTGTTTGAGTTCCTTGTAGATTCTGGATATTAGTCCTTTGTCAGATGCATAGTTTGCAAAGATTTTCCCCCACTCTGTAGGTTGTCTGTTTACTATGCTGATTATTTCTTTTGCTGTGCAGAAGGTTTTTAGTTTAATTAAGTCACATCAATTTATCTTTGTTTTTGTTGCATTTGCTTTTGGGTTCTTGGTCATTAACTCTTTGCCTAAGCCCATGTCTAGAAGGGTTTTTCTGACATTATCTTCTAGAATTTTTATGGTTTCAGGTCTTAGATTTGAGTCTTTGATGCATCCTGAGTTGAATTTTGTATAAGGTGAGATATGAGGATCCAATTTCATTCCTCTACACGTAGCTTGCCAATTATCCCAACACTATTTGTTGAATAGCGTGTTGTGTTGGTTAATATTAAGTGTCAACTTGATTGGATTGAAGGATGCAAAGTTGTTTCTGGGTGTGTCTGTGAGGGTGTTGCTAGAGGAGATTAACATTTGAGTCAGTGGACTGGGAGAGGCAGACTCACCCTTAATCTGGATGGGCACCATCCCCCCGGCTGCCTGCACAGCAAGATAAAGCAGGCAGAAGAAGGTGGAATGAACAGACTTGCTGAGTCTTCCAATTTTCACCTTTCTCCCTTGCTGGATGCTTCCTGCCCTTGTACATCAGACTCCAAGTTCTTCAGCTTTTGGACTTTTGGACTTACACCAGTGGTTTGCCAGGGGCTCTTCGGCCTTCAGCCACAGACTGAAGGCTGCACTGTCAGCTTCCTTACTTTTGAGGCTTTGGGACTCGGAGTGGCTTCCTAGCTTCTCAACTCGTAGACAGCCTATAGTGGGACTTCACCTTGTGATGATGTGAGTCAACTCTCCTTAATAAACTCTCTTTCATATGTACATATATACTGTTAGTTCTGTCCCTCTAGAGAACCCTGACTAATACACGGTGTCCTTCCCCCAATTTATGTTTTTGTTTGCTTTGTTGAAGATCAGTTGGCCGTAAGTATTTGGCTTTATTTATGGATTCTCTAGTCTGTTTAATTGGTCTATGTGCCTATTTTTATGTCAGTACTTATGCTGTTTTGGTGACTATAGCCTTATAAGTATAGTTTGAAGTTGGATAATGTGATGCCTCCAGATTTGTTCTTTTTGCTTAGTCTTCCTTTGGCTATGCAGGTCTTTTTTGGTCCATATGAACTTTAAGATTGTGTTTTCTAGTTTTGTGAAGAATGATGATGGTATTTTCATGGAAATTGCATTGAATTTGTAAATTGCTTTTGGCAGTATGGTCATTTTCATAATATTGACTCTACCCATTCACGAGCATGGGATGTGTTTCCACTTGTTTGTGTAATCTACGATTTCTTTCAGCAGTGTTTTGCAGTTTACCTTATACAGATCTTTCACTTCCTTGGTTAGGTATATGCCTAGGTTTTTTTTTTCTTTGTTTGTTTGTTTGTTTTTGCAGCTATTACAAAAGGGGTTGAGTTCTTGATTTGTTTCTCAGCTTGGTCGCTATTGGTGTATAGCAGTGCTACTGATTTATGTACATTGATTTTGTATCCCGAAACTTTACTGAATTCGTCTATCAGTTCCAGAAGCTTTTTGGATGAGTCCTTTGGGTTTTCTATGTATACGATCTTATCATCTATGAACAGCGACAGTTAGATTTCCTCTTTACTGATTTGGATGCCCTTTATTTCTTCCTTTGGTCTGATTTCTCTGGCTAGGACTTCCAGTACTATGTTAAATAGAAGCAGTGAAAGTGAGCATCCTTGTCTTGTTCTAATTCTCAGGGGGAATGCACT